>NC_000022.11:35679260-35830776 GCF_000001405.40 Homo sapiens
AGATGGGACATTCTGGGAAACTGTTATTCTGCCTGCGATATCCACTCTTCTGATTTGTCACCATTGATTAGTTTTCCTTGTCCTTGACATTCATATACATAAAATCATACAGTACTCTTTTGTACTCAGAGATATATCTGTGAAATTCATCTGTGTGGTTATGTGTAGCTTTAGTTAATTATTTTTTACTGCAGTGAAATTCCGTTATATACCAAAATGCATTCTTCATTCTAATGATGAACATGCTTGAGGCTATTATAAATAAAGCTGTTATGTATATCCCTGTTAATGTGTGTGATATGGTTTGGCTCTGTGTCCCCACCCAAATCTCACCTTGAACTGTAATAATCCCCAATGTCGTGGGAGGGACCTGGTGGGAGGTAATTGACTCATAGGGGCAGTTTCCCCCATACCGTTCTTGTAGTAGTGAGTAAGTCTCACAAGATCTGATGGCTTTATAAATGGGAATTCCCCTGCACATGCTCTCTTGCCTGCTGCCATGTAAGAAGCCCCTTTGCTCTTTCTTCATCTTCCACCGTGATTGTGAGGCCTCCCCAGCCATGTGGAACTGCGAGTCCATTAAACCTCTTTCCTTTATAAATTACCTAGTCTCAGGTATGTCTTTATTAGCAGCATTAAAACAGATGAATACAGTATGTTTTGGTAGTTTTATACACTCACTTCTCTTGCACATATAGCAAGTAGTAGAATTACAGTTTGTAGAGTGTACATATTTTAGCTTTAATAAACACATCTGAAGTGATTGTATCTATTTTCATTCCCACCAGTAATGGTTAGAGTTCCAGTTGTTCCACATCCTCACCATCATTTGTATCGTCCCTAAAAAATTTTAGCCAGTTTGCTGAGCATGTAGTGATATCTTTGTGATTGTGATTTTAATGTATATTTCTTTGATGACATATGTTTGTTTGTTTGTTTTTGAGACGGAGTTTAGCTCTTGTCATCAAGGTTGGAGTGCAGTGGCACAATATCAGCTCGCTGCAACTTCCGCCTCCTGGGTTCAAGGATTCTCCTGCCTCAGCCTCCCTAGTAGCTGGGACTACAGGTGCATGCCACCACGCCTGGCTAGTTTTTTGTATTTTTAGTAGAGATGGGTTTTCACTGTGTTAGCCAGGATGGTTTCGATATCCTGACCTCGTGATCCGTCTACCTCAGCCTCCCAAAGTGCTGGGATTACAGGCGTGAGCCACAGTGCCCGGCCTCTTTGATGACATATGATACTGGTATCCATGTGCTTATTGGCCCCTTTAATCTCTTTTTTTGTGAGATGCCTGTCCAAGCCTTTTGCCCATTTTTATTCTGTTATTTTTCTTATTGATTGAAGAATTTATTTTTTTTTTACATTGAAGTCTTTTGTCAGATATATTTATCATAAATATCTTCTCTCAGGCTGTGGCTTGAGGCACTAACAATTTCAAGGTGGTCCCTAAACTGATAGTGTCTTACTGATATATACCCTCTTACTGGTATATGTATTTTTAAATTTTTGGTACAATATATATAATATGAAATTTACCATTTTAACCATTACAAAGTGTACAGTTCAGTGGCATTAAGTACATTCACATCGTTGTGCAACCATCCCTACCATCTATCTCCAGAACTTTTTTCATCTTGCAAAACTGAAACTCTCTACCTATTAAACAATAACGCCTCATTCCCCCTTCCCCTATACACTGGCAATCACCATTCTACTTTCTGTTCCTATGAATTTGATTACTCTAAATACCACATATGAGCAAAATTATGCAGTATTTTTTTTGTGACTGATTTCTCTCTCTCTCTTTTTTTTTTTTGAGACAGAGTCTCACCCTGTCGCCCAGGATGGAGTGCAGTGGCATGATCTTGGCTCACTGCAACCTCCGCCTCCTGGGTTCAAGCAATACTCCTCAGCCTCCTGAGTAGCTGGGATTACAGGTCCATGCCACCACACCCAGCTGATTTTTGTATTTTTAGTAGAGATGGGGTTTTGCCATGTTGGCCAGGCTGGTCTCAAACTCCTGACCTCAAGTGATCCACCCGCCTCAGCCTCCCAAAGTATGGGGATTACAGGCGTGACCCACTGCACCTGGCCTGGCTTATTTCACTTAGCATAACGTCTTCAAGGGTAATCCATGTTGTACCATGTGTCAAAATGTCCTTTCTTCTCAAGGCTAACTAATATTGGATATATATATTAGGTTGTTGCCAAGGTCATTATGGTTTTTGCAATTAAAAGTTAAAAATTAAACGAAAACTGCAATTACTTTTGCACCAATCTTTGTTGTACCACAGTTTGTTTATCTATTCATCCATTTGATGCAGGGTTTTTGCTCCTTAGTTCAGCTAAATCCAGGTTTTTGTCTCACGACCAAGAAAAATTAGGCATGCAGACACATTGAAGGGTGAGGTGGGCAGAATTTACTCAGTGAAAGGAAAGCTCTCAGCAAAGAGAGGGGCTCTGCAAGCAGATTTCCATTTCACAAATTGAATACCGGAGCCACTAGACACAAGCTGAAGAGGTCAGGATCCTCCCCTGCATAAAGTGTGAATTTCTGGTAGCTCCACCCCATTCCCCCAGGGCATGTGGGCCTCCAGTCTGCTGTGGGTATGCCCAGGCAAGCTCCCTGTGCAAGTTCCCTTATCTGCATAAAGTGTCTGGTGATTACATCTGGTGATTTCATCTGGTGTAACCTGGGGTGGGTCGGAGTTTCTCCAGGGACCCTTTCCTATCTGCCTCAGCATTTGGCCATCTCCTGCCTCTATCACATTTACACTTGGGTTGCTTCCTCCTTTTAGCTATTGTAAATAGTGTTGCTATAAACACGGGTGTACTCTTACTGGTATATTTTAATGTACAAAATTTCTTAGTGAAGTCCAAGTTATAAATGTTTTCTTCTATCTATCAGTTCTTTTAATGTTGTGTAGAATATTTGCATATCCCTAGATCGTGAACATATCCTCCTCTGATTTTTTCTGTAAGTTTTATTGTTTTATTTTAAGCTTTAAATCTGTCATAATCAGCAATTGATTTTTATGTGTGATGTGAGGAGGGAATCAAGATTCACTTTCTTTGGCTGGGCACAGTGGCTCATGCCTGTAATCCCAACAGTTTGGGAGGCTGAGGTGGGTGGATAACATGAGGCCAGGAGTTCAAGACCAGCCTGGCCAACATGGTGAAATTCCATCTCTATTAAAAATACAAAAATTAGCCAGTCATGGTGGTGCGTGTCTGTAATCCGAGCTACTCAGGTGGCTGAGGCATGAGAATCACTTGAACCTGGGAGGTGGAGGTTACAGTGAGCCAATATTATGCCACTGCACTCCAGCCTGGGAGACAGAGTGAGAACTTATCTCAAAAAAAAATTTCACTTTTTTCCCATATGAATATCTAATTGATCATCACCATTTGTGGCAAAGACCTTCCTTCTCCTACTGCATTGCAGGGTGCCTTTGTTGTAAATGAGGTGGTGGTACAAACACAAGGTTAAACAAATAGACCAACAGAACTTATACAGTTTGTTTCTGGATTCTCTGTTTTGTTCCATTGGTCTATTTGTCTGGCCTTGTGCAATACCATACTCTTAATTACTGTGGATTTACAATGAATCTTTTAGATCTTGTGATGTAAATTTTCCAACTTGTTCTTTATCAAGATTGCTTTTGTTACTCTAGGTCGTTTTTATTTCCATATAAATTTTAGAATCAAATCAACTTGTCAATTTCAATAAAAATATCTGCTAGTGTTTTATTGAATCTATAGATCAATTTGAAAATAATTGAATTCTTGACAAAACTGAATTTTTCAATTCATAGTATCTCTCCAATTATTTAGGTCTTTCACTTATTTTAACAATGCTTTGTAGTTTCAGTGTCATGAAAATTATTTCCTGGATATATTCTTAGGTATTTGATGTGTTCTAATATCATAAATTATTTATTTCATTTTATTATTGTTTGTCTCTTAGTATGAAGAAATACAATGCATTTCTGTATACTGACCTTGTATCCAGGGAGCCCACTAAATTTATTATAATCTAATGGCTTATCCGTAGATTATTTTAGATTTTCTACATGTACAATTACAGTTGAGCCTTGAACAACATGGGTTTGAACTGTATGGGTCCCCTTATATGCAGATTGGAGAAGGGATGAGAGAGAGCGAGAGAGAGAGAAGGAATGAGAGAGAGAGAGAAGTGATGAGAGAGAGAAGGAGAGAAAGAATGAGAGAGAGAGACAGGATGAGAGAGAGAGAGAAGGACAGAAGGAATGAGAGAGACAGGAGAGAAGGAGTGAGAGAGAGAAGGAATGAGAGAAAGAGAAGGAGAGAAGGAATGGGAGAGAAGGAATGAGAGAAAGAGAAGGAATGAGAGAGAGAGAAGGAGAGAAGGAATGACAGAGAGAAAGAGAGAAGGAATGAGAGAGAGAAAGAGAGAAGGAATGAGAGAGAGAAGGACAGAAAGATTGAGGGAGAGAGAAGTAGAGAAGGAATGAGAGAGAGAATGACAGAAAGATTGAGGGAGAGAGAAGTAGATAAGGAATGAGAGTGAGAAGGAGAGAAGGAATGAGAGAAAGAGAATGAATGAGAGAGAGAAGGAGAGAAGAAATGAGAGAGAAGGAGAGAAGGAATGACAGAAAGAGAGAGAAGGAACGAGAAAGAGGAGAAAAGGAATGAGAGAGAGAAGGAATGAGAGACAGAGAGACGGAGAGAAGGAATGACAGAGAGAAAGAGAGAGAAAGAATGAGAGACAGGAGAGAAGGAATGACAGGGAGAGAGAAGGAGAGGAGGAGAGAAACTGACATGGACTCTGGTGGACATTTGTAAAACATCACAGCCACCCAGCACTTGATCGGTAAACTCACTTTCCCAGCCACCAAGAAGCTGGAATGAAGACATAGGTGATCTGCCCTGGGATGGAATTGGAAGCTGACTTGGAGCTGGATGCAGTAACTGATGTGTCCTGATCCCCTTTTGAAAAGAGTATTTTTGTGTGTATGTGGGCTAAAAGGGGTTTATAAATATTATTTTCTGTTACTTTGTTTTGTTTATTTAAGTGTGTGTGTGTGTGTGTGTGTGTGTGTGTGTACTTGCTGATGTTGGGTAGTCAAAGGCTTTGTAGACTTTGGTGATTCTTTTTGCCCAGTAAACACTTTTCCTCCATTTGGGGGCGCTCCCTGCTCTATAGCTCTTGGTGGGATGTGGCAATAGCCTCTGACTACAGAAATCAGATACTCATTCCCAGCCTCTCTTGATGCAGAGATGCAGCCAAACAGATGTACCCATATTAGACTTCAAATCATGAGCTCCCTCCAGAATCTATTCTGGGGATAATGGCAGCAGTTACATCCTGTTTCCAGAGCCAACAGCATAAGAGGCTGTAGTCGTGTATCCAGCATTGGTCACGTTGGTGACAATGGTGCTGAAGTCAGAGCTGTCTGTGCCTACCAGTGCTTCCCACTAAACCACTTTTCAGTGTGATTTTGGGTGCTGTTCCTGAGGGTGTTTCTTCTGGACACAGATTGTATATAGGCCATTTTTCCTTCTCTCCTAGAGAGCTTCTGAGATACCTAATATTTGGTAATACATTGCTTTTCTGATTAAGCTAGTTTGGGTTCACTTTGTTAGCAGCTAGGAATGCTGACTGGTTCAGGAATGAATTAGGTCATAAAATGAAAAGTCCAGCAATGTCCCTGCTTCAGGTAAGGTTGGTTCTAGGTGCTCAACTATATACTAGGACTTTTTTTTTTTTTTGAGACAGAGTCTCACTCTGTTGCCCAGGCTGGAGTGCAATGGTTCAGTCTCAGCTCATTGCAACCTCCACCTCCCAGGTTCAAGTGATTCCTGCCTCAGCCTCCCAAGTAGCTGGGATTACAGGCAAGTGCCACCACACCCCACTAATTTTGTACTTTTAGTAGAGATGGGGTTTCACTATATTGGCCAGACAGGCCTTGAACTCCTGACCTCAAGCGATCCGCCCCCACCTTGGCCTCCCAAAGTGCTAGGATCACAGTCATGAGCCACCGTGCCTGGCCTAGGACTCCTGTCTCTCTCAGGTCTGCTTTCCTCCACGTGGGTTTCTTTCCCAGGAATGACCTTTGTACAACATGGAAAAGATGACCATCAGAGATCTAGATTTGCCTTGTCCTTTAACTAGCAGCCCCAGAGGGAAGGGCGTCCATCTTTCCTACCTATTTCTCCCACAGAAGTCCTGGGAATGGCTCTGCCCAAAGCACCAGCATGGCAGAGGTTCTGCAGTTAGTGTCTGAGAGCCTTAGTGTTTCAGCAATTTTTTTCACAGCTTCCCTAGGTCACAGAAATACTGAACAGTTCAATTACCAAGTGGCTAGGTCCAAATGGTTTGTGAACCTCTGCAATCCACTCATGGGATAGGCCGGCTGAGTCAGGCACCCACCTCTGCAAAGGAGGTGCACCCACACTTCCAGGAAGAAAATTATGATGGGCAAAGTATAAAAGATATCCACCATTCCTCTGTCCTGATGGAACAGCCTTGGCAGGCCTGTGTCTGGTAGATATAAACAGAGTGTGCGCGTGTGATAGGTAGCATATGATCAGCAGAAGAGCTGGCCTGGGTCTGGGGCTCTGTGGAGCGCATCTGGTTTATTTATAGGTTGCTCGTAACCCAACCTGGATCCTATTAAGTAACCTGTAAAAACAAGCCACACCACCGAACATGGAGGTCCAATGCCGATTCATGACCCTGAGAGCTCCATCCTGAGGGGGCGGGCCCGGAACGTGAGTACTGCATTTGGAATGAGGGATGCGGAACCGTGGGAAGGGACAAATCAGTTGCATTTATCTTTCCTTTTTTGCCCAAAAACCCAATAAACACACCTCTTCCTTGTTTAGTTCCTGTGCTCTGAGGGTGAATTGCAGCATGTCTAGAATGAAACTGAGCGGTTGTACTAAACTTGCTGCCTGGCACTGATGTTGCCCAAGGCAGGAAAGCCGGTGAATAGTGTCGCTTTGTAGGCAGGGGGGCAAGGAGGAGTTTGGCGTGGTTTGTACCAACTTGTCAGCATTGTTTATTGATAACAGTAAGACTGATTTTCTCCTGGTGAGACCCCCAGAGAGCTGTGCTGCAGAAGCTAGTTATGTAACAGGAATTTGTGTATGTGACCTGTGAAACATAAAAAACCCCAGCCGAGACTCTCTTTTGGGCCCCTTAGTTCTGTGGTGCTCTGTGCACCTGCCAAGGGTTCTGTATCTGAAAGAGGAAGTGCATTTTGCCATGACCATACAGTAGAGAGGACAATAGAAACCCAAACCGGCCCTGCCAGACCCCTTGCTGTGAGCTGGCCATAGCTGTGATGCACATCTTCTTCTTTTTTTTTTCTTTGGTCTCTGTTGCACAGTGGAGTCCAGTGGCATGATCATATCTCATTGACGCCTCCAACTCTTAGGTTTAAGCGTCCTCCCACCTCAGCCTCCTGGGTAGCTAGGACTACAGGGGTGTGCCACCACACCTAGTTTTTGTTTGTTTGTTTGTTTTGTTTTGTTTTGTTTTTCTTGAGACAGAGTCTTCCTCTGTCACCCAGGCTGGAGTGCAATGGCATGATCTCAGCTCACGGAAACCTCTGCCGCCTGGGTTCAAGCAATTCTCCTGCCTCAGCCTCCCAAGTAGCTGGGATTGCAGGTGTGCACCACCACACCCAGCTAATTTTTTGTATTCTTAGTAGAGATGGGGTTTCATCACGTATGCCAGGCTGGTCTCAAACTCCTGACCTCAGGTGATCCACCTGCCTCAGCCTCCTAAAGTGCTGGGATTACAGGCGTGAGCCACTGCACTCAGCCCAGGCCTAGTTAATTTTTAAATTTTTTGTAGCAATGGGAATCTCATTCTGTTGCTCAGGCTGGTCTCGAACTCCTGGTCTCAAGCAATCCTCCCACCTCAGCTCCCCAAAGTGCTGAGATTACAGGTATGCACCACCATGCCCTGCACACATCCTGACTTTAATGTTAGCTGTAGAGTGCTCCTTTCTCTTCAAGAATCTATAGATTTGTAAGCACTGTCATTTGGAGCCCTATAAATCATTAGCAATAAATCCTGTAACTGGCACTCTTAGTGCAGTCCCTAAGGTTAAAATGACTCGATTCTGTCTAATTGGGCTGAGAAGGACATAGATGTGTTAGTCTCTAGTTTCTCAAGCTAATCCACATGCCATTCTGCTGATAGAGGATTCGCATTCAAAATATCTATAGATATTGCCAGATTCTCATGTCTATCAGTAACGTGTGGACAGGCCTTTTGCACTACACTGTCATCAAAATTCGAGGTGCTCAATCATTTGCATTTTTGCCGTCTGAGAGGTGAAACATTTGATGTCATTGCCTGCACTTGTACTTGGCAAAATCAAGCATGCCAGGAAGGGAGTGTAGCTTGCCTATCTCCCTTGGTTTCCTGAGGAGGTTGCCAGAAGTGTAGTGCTCTCAGCAGCCCCTACGGAGTGAAGAATCCATTATTTCAGAGGAGATCAGAGCAAGCCAGAACTTGTGGTTTTACAATATTTTAGTTTGGGGTCAAGGGTTGATCGGCATTCAAGATTCATTCTTGGGCTGGGTGCAGTGGCTCACACCTGTAATCCCAGCACTTTGGGAGGCTGAGGGGGGTGGATCACTTGAGGTCAAGAGTTCAAGACCAGCCTGACCAACATGGTGAAACCCTATCTCTACCAAAAATATAAAAACATTAGCCGAGTGTGGTGGTGTGTGCCTGTAATCCCAAATACTTGGGAGGCTAAAGCAGGAGAATCACTTGAACCCGGGAGGCGGAGGTTGCAGTGAGCCAAGATCACGCCACTGCACTCCAACCTGAGTGACAGAGCGAGACTCCATCTCAAAAAAAAAAAAAAGATTCGTTCTTGTGACATATAAGGGAATGCTTCTATATCACAGGTACATCCCACCACATCCCACTACTTACTGCACCATCGCACCCACTTGAGGTTTCAGTGCAGCAAGCCTGACCATGCCCTACCACACCTCACACCTTTTCAGATCTGTGGTCCATTTTCTTTCTGTCTGCCTATACTTTTCTTGTTAATTTGTAGACACTCTTTACATATGATGCATATTAACCCACGGTCTGTCACATGTACTGCAAATATATTCTTCAGTCAGTCATTTGCCATTTTACTTTCCTTGTAGTTTTTTTTTTTTTCTATTCAGAGTTTTAAAATGTGACATAGACATTTTCCTTTAGGTACCTGGATTTCATGCCATGCTAAGAAAGGCCTTTATTCATCCAACATTATAAAAATGTCCTACATTTTCTTCTGGTATTTTATACTTTTATGTTTTATGTTATCAAATAAGAAAGGATGCTATTTGTTATATAGTATCATGTTATGTTTGTATAGCTATATGTTATTAATATAAGTGTTCCAGAAATTGTATGAAATTCCTAGAAATCTGATATATCCTGGTATAATGTTATCAGCTTTAATTCCAGTTATCTTAAAATGTCATATACCGCATGAATAACTAAATTTTCTTATGAAAATTCAGATGAACTCTCATGAGATCATTAACCATGGCCATTTTAATTTTTTTTTCATCCACCAAGCAGTTATCATTTACTCTGATGCTTTCCTGAAAGCACTTGCAAATCGCTATGACACAAAACTTCAAGAGATTCATAAAAAAAAGACTCAAGCACAGGTGTCTGATAACTTTTAAATCACACTGTTGAACCCATTAAACTGGGGTTGTTCTTAGCCTTACAGCCCTGTGAATGGGAGCTGGATGACTTCATAGAGACTTCAGAGAAATTGCTACAACAGTTTATACCTGGACAACCTTGGTGCCTGAGGCTGTGTTGGCCACACAGAAAGTTCACCAGAAACCTGATGATATCACCAGAGACATCCAAGCTGCAAGCCGGGAACACCCATCGGATTGAAACTGCCACACCAGAAGAAGAAAAAACAAATGCTATTTCTATATGAATACATCAGGAATAGATGCCCAAATCTGGGATCTTTAGAAATATAAAAGGCCAGGTCCAGGTGCTCCACCAGACGTGGGAAATACCGTCGACTGATCTAGTTAAATCAAGAGATTAAATCTCGGCTCTTGGGGACCCTAGTTTCAGGGTACTTTCCAAACTCTTGGCATTATCCTGTCATTAGTCCTACTGATAACATTTCCTATATGTTGCTTCTCTCAAGAGTCTTAAATGCTTGTGAGCAGCCACTGACTCATCACATGATCTCAGGAGGATGGAGGAACAAAAACTGCTTCAGTTGGAATTGTCAAAAAAAGAAAAAAGCCTACTGAAACTCTGCTTCACAGTCTTCAGACGGCCATGGAGACAAAGACATGTGGAAACCGAGTGTAGCGCTAAGCAGTGGGTCACACTCTGAGTCCGACTGAGAGAATGACCCAAATTGGGCAGTTGTTAAAAAGAAACAGGAAAATAGATGACCAGGTGTGGTGGCTCACACCCGTAATCCCAGCACTTTGGGAGGCCGAGGTAGGTGGATCACTTCGCCAACATGGTGAAACCCCCTCTCTACAAAAAGTACAAAAAAATTAGCCTTGTGTGGTGGTGTACGCCTGTAATCCCAGATACTCCGGAAGCTGAGGCATGAGAATCACTTGAACCCAAGAGGCAGAGGTTGCAGTGAGCTGAGATCGCGCCATTGCACTCCAGCCTGGAGTATAAGACCCTGTCGAAAGAAAGAACAAAGAAAGAAAGAGAAAGAAAGAAAGAGAGAGAGAGAGAGAGAAGGAAGGAAGGAAGGAAGGAAGGAAGGAAGGAAGGAAGGAAGGAAGGAAGGAAGGGAAAGAGGCCCTGAGCCGACTAGCTATGGCCATGTAACTGAAACAGAATTGATCCTGATTTCCCCTCAAATGCTGGTTCTAATCACAAATAAAAATTAAGCTTTTCTTCCTTGCCAACCTGAAAACATTAAGCCAACACAAATAAGCTTGTGCAGCTCTGTTTGCATGATAGAGATGAAGGAGCCTCCTCATTCATGCTTTGTAAGCTGCACTGTAACTGCTGGGCTACCTCTTAACCATGTTCATAAATTATTCTTTTGCATGCACATTCACCTTAAAAATTCTTAAATTTGATCTGATTTTATTTTTGACAAAGTATGATTTTGCTGTTGGCTCCTGAGAGTTGGCTTTGATGTGATAGTTATTGCTTATATTTCTAGCTTAATGGAAGCCTTTATTTGGATTTTGTTAAATGACGTTAAATATTTGTTCTGTAAAGGTTTATGGCTAGAAGGGGAGAGGAGGAGGGAAACGGAACTCTGGAGGAGAAGGGGAGGGAAGAGGGGCTTACGTGTCTAGTTGTGTCTCACAGGGTTTCTGGGTCAGAGAGCTCCCAAGGGTGGCAGCAGCTTGGGGGCCTTAGAATTTCAAGGCTCCAGCTCATCCATAGGTAACACTTGTCCTGTGAGGTTTCACAGGGCATGCAAAGCAGGCAGGCTCTAAATGGCTAACAGTCTAATTGTTGGGACTATTTTTAAAATAACTGGATGTGTACAAATTTGAGTTTGGCAGCAGTGGGCTTTTGAGCTAACAGATGTGAATCTGTAGGGAAGAAATAAAAAACCCCATGGGTCCATACGCCCAGGCCATTGTTGGCTCATTTATAGAACAGCAGCTTAGAGACAGCCCAGGTCCAAAGATTCTAATAAATTAAGGAGGTAAAGGCTCTCTCTTACTACATTGTGCACTGCATTGCAGACAGATGGGTCAAGTGTTTCAGGTGGGAGGAAGTGAAGGTGGAGCCACGTGGCCTACGGTAGCAATGAAGAGTTGATGGTGTGTAGTGGCGCTCATCTGTAGTTCCAACTACTGGGGAAGCTGAGGCAGGAGGATCGCTTGAGCCCAGTAATTTGAGGCTGCGGTGAGCCATGATATCATCACTACATTCTAGCCTGGAAACAGAGTGAGACCCCATCTCTTAAAAATAAAAACGAACTAATAACACAGGAGCAAGTGGTGCCTGAATGCTGAAGGTAGCAAAAGTTCCCATGGTGAGATTTCCTTCTGTGAAACCCCAGTGTACACTTCTTGCGATATTGGGAGTAATATCATCCTCTCCCATCATGGATATCAAGAACAATATTACAAAGGAGGTGTACACCCCCTGCGATATGGAGAGTAATAGTATGCTCTCCCCTTCGGGATATTAGGAACAATATCGCAGAAGGTGTGTACAACCCCTGCGGTATTGGGAGTCATATCATCCTCTCCCCCTGAATATAAGAAACAATACCACAGGAGGATGTACACCCCCTGCGATATTGGGAGTAATATCATCTTCTCCCCCTCGGGATATTCGGAACAATATCACAGTGGGTGTGTACACCCCCTGCGATATTGCCACTAGTATCATCCTCTCCCTGCCAGCATATAAGGAACAGTATCACAAGGGGGTGTACACCCCTGCGATATTGGGGATAATGTCTTCCTCTCCCCCGCTGGCTATTAGGAACAATGTCCCAGAAGGGGTGTACACCCCCTGCTATATTGGGAGTGATATCATCCTCTCCGTCCCTGGATATTAGGAACAATATCACTAGGGAGTGTACACCTCCTGCAATAGTGAGACTAATATCATCCTCTCACCCCCTGGATATTAGGAACAATATCACAGGGGTGGTGTACACCCCCTGCAAAATCAGAAGAAATATCATCCTCTCCAACTTTGGATGTTAGGGACAATATCATGGGGGGAGGTCTCCGCCCCCTGCGATATTGGGGGTCATATCATCCTCTCCCACCTAGGATATTAGGAACAAGATGACCGAAGGGATGTACACCCACTGCGATATTTTCAATAATGTCATCCTCTACCCCCTGGCTATTAGGAAGAACATCATAGAGCGGTGTACACTTTCTGTGATATCGGGAGTAATATCCTCTCCAGATATCAGGAAAAGTTATATTAATTATTAATATTAATATATATAATAAAAATTAATACTAATCATCGATAATAATTACAATGAAGGGAGTAAAAACTAATCCTGGTTAAAAAATTAATGATTAGTATTAATAATTAATAGTAATGTCACTATTAATAATGAAGTAATGATATCAGTAATTAATCTTAATTAAATCAATAAGTGATGTTGCTAATAAAATAACAATTAATATTAAGTTTAATAACCAATATTATTGATAAATGACATTCATATCAATAATTAATTTTAATTGTGCATGATGATATATTTAAAATATCAATTAATAATCTTATACTATTAATTAATATTAACATTGATAATTATTATTAAAATTGATAATTGATGTTTAATAATTGATAATATTATTACTCCTAATCCCGCAGGGGGTGTACACCTACCTGTGATAATGTTCCTAATATCCAGGGATGCAGAGCATGATTTTAGTTTTAATATCGCAGTGGGTGTACACTCACCCCGTGACATCGATCCTAATATACAGGGGGTAGAGTATGACATGACTGCCAACATAGCAATGAATGTACAGCCACCTGGTGATATTGCTCCTAATATTCACGGAAGAAGCGTATGATATTACTCCCAATATCGCAGGGAGTGTACACCTCTTCTGTGATATTGTTCCTAGCATCCCGAGGGGGAGAGGATGATAATAATTCCAGTAGCGCAGGCTGTGTTCACCCACCCTGTGAAATTGTTATTAATATCCTGGAAGGGAGAGGATGATATTATTCCCCATAGAGCGGGAGGTGTTCACCCACCCTGTGATATTGTTATTAATATCCTAGAAGGGAGAGGATGATATAGAGCAGGAGGTGCACACCCACCCTGGGATATTGTTCCTAATCTCCATGGAGGGGAGAGGCAGATATTACTCCCAATATGGCAGGGGCTGTATATCCACCCTGTGATATTGTTCTTAATATTCAAAGGCCGAGAGGTTGATATCACTCCCAATATCGCAGAAAGTGTACAGCCCCGTGTGATACTGTTCCTGATATCCAGAAGGGGAGAAGATGATATTAATCCCCATATCGCAGGAGGTGAACACCCACTCTGTGATATCTTTCCTAATATGCAGGGGGAGAGAGGATAATATTATTCCCAATATTGCAGAAGATGTACACGCCCCCTCCACCCGCCCGTGATACTGTCCTTCATGTCCTTCTCAGTCCAAGGCAGAGAAGATGATATCGCAGAAAGTGTACACCCCCCAGTGATATTGTTCCCATGATCCAGGAGGGAAGAAGATGATATTACTTTCCCATATCGCAGGGGGTGTACACGCCTCCAGTGATACCGTTCCTAATTTCCACGTGGGAGAGGATGATATTACTCCCAATATCGCAGGGGTTATAAACACTCCTTTGATATTGTTTCTAATATCCAGGGGGGAGAGGATGGTATTCCTCCCTATATTGCAGAGGGTGCACACCCGTCTTTGATATTGTTCGTGATTTCTAGAGGTGGAGATGATATTACTCACAAAATCGTAAACACGCTGTGTGTCCACCGTGGATCCTAATATCCAGGGAGGGATATTACTCCCCATATAGGGGGCGGGGGTGCACCCAGCCTGTCATATTGTTTCTTATGTCCGGGGAGGAGAGGATGATATTGCTACCAATATCGAAGAAGTGTACACGCCCCCTGTGATATGGTTCCTAATATCCGCGTTGGGAGAGGATGACATTACTCTCAATATCACAGGGGTTGTAAACCCCGCCTGTGATATTTTTCCTACTATCCAGAATAAGAGAGAATGATATTACTCCCAATAGTGCAGGCGATGTACCACCCCCCCCCATGTGATATTGTTCTCAAGAGCTAAAGGAAGAGAAGAGAATATTATTCTCTGTACTGCAGGGGGTGTACACCCACCTGTGATACTGTTCCTAATATCCAGGGAGGTAGAGCATGAGATTACCCCCAATATCGCCGTGGGTGTACACCCACTATGTGATATTGCTCCTAATATCCAGGGGGTAGAGTAGGACATTACTCCCAATATAACAGTGGGTGTACATCCACCCGGAGATATTCAGGGAAGCCGAAAATGATATTACTCCCAATACCGCAGAGAGTGTACAACCCTTCTGTGATATTGTTCCTAGTATCCGGAGGGGGAGAGGATGATATTACTTTCAATATCGCAGGCTGTGTACACCCATCCTGTGATATTGTCCCTAAAATGCAGGAAGGGAGAGGACCGCATTACTTTCCATAGAGTAGGAGGTGTACACCCACGCTGGGATTTTGTTCCTAATATCAAGGGGGAGACAGCGTAATATTACCCCAATATGGCAGGGGGTGTACATCCCCCCTGAGATATTGTTCTTGCCATTCAGAACAGGAGAGGATGACATTACTCCAGATATGGAAGAAAGTGTAAACCCCCGTGTGATATTGTTTCTAATATCTAGAAAGAAAGAAAAGGATATTAATCCCCATATCGCAGGAGGTGTACACCCACTCTGATATTTATCCAAATATGCAGAGGGGAAAGAGGATAATAATATTCCCAATATCGCAAGGGTTCTACAACCCCATGTGAGATGGTCCTTCATAATATTCCAAGGCAAAGGGGATGATATTACCACATATATCGCAGAAAACGTACACCGCCCAAGGATATTATTCCCATGATCCTGGAGGGAAGAGGATGATATTACTTTAAATATCACAGAAGGTGTACAAGCCGCCACTGATATTGTTTCTAATTTCAACGTGGAAGAGGAGGATGTGACACCCAATATTGCAGGGAGTAGAAACAGTCCTGTGATACTGTTCTTAATATTCAGGGAGGACGAGGACGATGTTACTCCCAATAGAGACGGATGTACAAGGTCTGTGCACCGATGGTGTACACTCGTCTGTGAAATAGATCATAATTTCCAGAGGCGGAGATGATATTACTCACGATATCGTAGACAGGCTGTGAGTCCACTAATGTGGACCGTAATAGCCAGGGCGGGAGGGGGGGTGGCTATTCCTCCCCGCATCGCGGTGGGTGCCTCAACCCCCTGCAATGGGGGTCCTAAGAGCAAGGGGGGGAGAGGGGCTGGCTGTTACTCCCCGCATCGCAGGAGGTGTGTACAACCCCTGCGATATTGAGAGTAATGTCATCCTCTCCCCCGGAATATAAGAAACAATATCACAGGAGGATGTACACCCCCTGCGATATTGGAAGTAGCATGATTTTCTCCCCCTCGGGATATTCGGAAAAATATCACAGTGGGTGTGTACAGCCCCTGCGACATTGCCGCTAGTATCTTCCTCTCCCTCCCAGGATATAAGGGACAAGGTCACCAGGGGGTGTACACCCACTGCGATATTGGCTGTAATATCTTCCCCTCCCCCTCTGCCCTTTAGGAAAAATGTCACAGAAGGGTTGTACACCCCCTGCTATATTGGGAGTGATATCATCCTCTCCGCCCGTGGATATTAGGAACAATATCCCTAGGGAGTGTACACCTCCTGCAATATTCAGACTAATATCATCCTCTCGCAGCCTGGATATTAAGATCAATATCACAGGGGTGGTGTGCACCCCCGGCGAAATTGGAAGAAATATCATGCTCTCCACCTTTGAATGTTAGGGACAGTATCACGGGGGAGGTCTCCGCCCCCTGTGATATTGGGAGTCATATCATCCGCTCCCACCCAGGATATTAGGAACGAGATGACCGAAGGGATGTATGCCCACTGCGATATTTTCAATAATGTCATCCTCTGCCCCCTGACTATTAGGAGTAACATCACAGAGGGGTGTACACTTTCTGCGATATTGGGAGTAATATTCTCTCCTCCACCGATATCGGGAACAGTTATATTAATTATTAATATTAATAAATATAATAGCAATTAATAGTAATCATCGATATTAATAATTACAGTAGAGACAGTAAAACAGTACGGATTAAAAATATTAACGATTACTATTAATAATTAATAGCAATATTATTAATAAAATAATGATATCAGTAATTAATGTTACTTCAATCAATCATAAGTGATGTTGGTAATAAAACAATAATTAATATTAAGATTAATAACTAATATTAAAAGTGACATTAATAATAATTAATTTTAATCATGCACAATCATATCTTGAAAATAATCAATGATTAATAATGTTATACTATTAATTAATATTACCATTGATAATTATTAATAAGACTGATGTTTAATAATTCATAATATTATTATTCCTAATACCGCAGGGGGTGTACGCCTACCTGTGATATTGTTCCTAATATCCAGGGACGGAGAGCATGATATTAGTTTTCATATCGCAGTAGGTGTACACTCACCCGGTGACACCGATCCTAATATCCAGCAGGTAGAGTATGACATGACTGCCAACATAGCAATGAATGTACAGCCACCCGGTGAGATATCTCCTAATATTCACGGAAGAAGCGTATGATATTACTCCCAATATCGCAGGGAGTGTACACCTCTTCTGTGATATTGTTCCTAGTATCCCGAGGGGGAGAGGATGATAATAATTCCAGTAGCGCAGGCTGTGTTCACGCACCCTGTGAAATTGTTATTAATATCCTCAAAGGGAGAGGATATTACTCCCCATAATAGATAGATATTACTCCCCATACTAGAGCAGGAGGTCACACCCTGTGATATTCTTCGTAACATTCAGAGGCCGAGAGGTTGATAATACTCCCAATATCGCAGGAAGGGTACACCCCCGTGTGAGATGGTGCTTAATAATATTCCAAGGCGGAGGGGGTGATATGACAACATATATGGCAGGAAGTGTACACCCCCCAGGGATATTGTTCCCATGATCCTGGAGGGAAGAGGATGATATTACTTTCCATATCACAGAAGGTGGACACGCCCCCACTGATATTGTTTCTAACTGCAACGTGGGACATGAGGATATGACACGCGATATCGCAGGGAGTAGAAACACCCCCGTGATACTGTTCTTAATATTCAGGGATGAAGAGGATGATATTACTCCCAATACAGACGGGTGTACACCCGTCAGTGAAACAGTTCATAATTTCCAGATGGGGAGATGATATTACTCACAATACCGTAAAAACGCTGTGAGTCCACCGCGGGTCCTAAAAACCAGGGGGGCGAGAGGGGCTGGCTCTTACTCCCCGCATCGCGGGGGGTGCCTGGATTTGAAGAACAATATCCCTGATGTTGGGAGGTGGAGTATATGACGAACAATATCACTGGGTGCGTGTACACCCCCTGCTATATTGGGTGTAGTATCATCCTCTCTTCCCTAGGATATTAAATACAATATCACAGGAGGGGTGTACATCCCCTGTGATATTGGGCATAATGTCATCGTCTCCCAACGTGGATATTGGGAATAATGTCACAGGGGGGTGTACACCTCCTTCCATATTGGGAGTAATATCATCCTCTCCCCTCAGGATTGTAGGCAAAATATCGAAGGGGTTTTACAACTCGTGCGATATGGGCAGTAATATCATCCTCTCCCCACCTAGATATTAGGAACTATGTCACAGGAGACTGTACACTTCTTGCGATATTGGGAGTAATATCATCCTCTCCCATCATGGATATTAAGAAGAATATTACAAGGGAGGTGTACACCCCCTGCGATATGGAGAGTAATAGTATGCTCTCCCTTTGGGATATTAGGAACAATATCACAGAAGGTGTGTACAACCCCTGTGGTATTGGGAGTCATATCATCCTCTCCCCCGACTATAAGAAAAAATACCACAGGAGGATGTACACCCCCTGCGATATTGGGAGTAATATCATTTTCTCCCCCTCGGGATATTCGGAACAATATCACAGTGGGTGTGTACACCCCCTGCGATATTGCCACTAGTATCATCGTCTCCCTGCCAGCATATAAGGAACAGTATCACAAGGGGGTGTACACCCCCTGCGATATTGGGGATAATATCTTCCTCTCCCCCGCTGGCTATTAGGAGCAATGTCCCAGAAGGGGTGTGCACCCCCTGCTCTATTGGGAGTGATATCATCCTCTCTGTCCCTGGATATTAGGAACAATATCACTAGGGAGTGTACACCTCCTGCAATAGTGAGACTAATATCATCCTCTTGCCCCCTGGATATTAGGAACAATATCACAGGGGTGGTGTACAACCCCTGCAAAATCAGAAGAACTATCATCCTCTCCAACTTTGGATGTTAGGGACAATATCACGGGGGAGGTCTGCGCCCCCTGCGATATTGGGGGTCATATCATCCTCTCCCACCCAGAATATTAGGAACAAGATGACCGAAGGGATGTACACCCACTGCGATATTTTCAATAATGTCATCCTCTACACCCTGGCTATTTGGAAGAACATCATAGAGGGGTGTACACTTTCTGCGATATTGGGAGTAATATCCTCTCCTCCCCGGATATCAGGAAAAATTATATTAATTATTAATATTAATATATATAATAAAAATTAATACTAATCGCCGATATTAATAATTACAATAAAGGGAGTAAAAACTAATGCTGGTTAAAAATATTAAAGATTGGTATTAATAATTAATAGTAATGTCACTATTAATAATGAAGTAATGATATCAGTAATTAATCTTAATTAAATCAATAAGTGATGTTGCTAATAAAATAATAATTAATATTGTTTAATAACCAATATTATTGATAAATGGCATTCATATCAATAATTAATTTTAATCGTGCATGATGACATATTTAAAATAATTATCAATAATTAATAATCTTATACTATTAATTAATATTAACATTGATAATTATTATTAAAATTGATAATTGATGTTTAATAATTGATAATATTATTACTCCTAATCCCTCAGGGGTGTACACCTACCTGTGATATTGTTCCTAGTATCCAGGGACGGAGAGCATGATTTCAGTTTTAATATCGCAGTGGGTGTACACTCACCCTGTGACATCGATCCTAATATACAGGGGGTAGAGTATGACATGACTGCCAACATAGCAATGAATGTACAGCCACCTGGTGATATTGCTCCAAATATTCACGGAAGAAGCGTATGATATTACTCCCAATATCGCAGGGAGTGTACACCTCTTCTGCGATATTTTTCCTAGCATCCCGAGGGGGAGAGGATGATAATAATTCCAGTAGCGCAGGCTGTGTTCACCCACCCTGTGATATTGTTAGTAATATCCTGGAAGGGAGAGGATGATATAGAGCAGGAGGTGCACACCCACCCTGGGATATTGTTCCTAATCTCCATGGAGGGGAGAGGCAGATATTACTCCCAATATGGCAGGGGCTGTATATCCACCCTGTGATATTGTTCTTAATATCCAAAGGCCGAGAGGTTGATATCACTCCCAATATCGCAGAAAGTGTACAGCCCCGTGTGATACTGTTCCTGATATCCAGAAGGGGAGAAGATGATATTAATCCCCATATCGCAGGAGGTGAACACCCACTCTGTGATATCCTTCCTAATATGCAGGGGGAGAGAGGATAATATTATTCCCAATATTGCAGAAGATGTACACGCCCCCCCCCCCACCCGCCCGTGATATTGTCCTTCATGTCCTTCTCAGTCCAAGGCAGGGAAGATGGTATCGCAGAAAGTGTACACCCCCAGTGATATTGTTCCCATGATCCAGGAGGGAAGAGGATGATATTACTTTCCCATATCGCAGGGGGTGTACATGCCCCCAGTGATACCGTTCCTAATTTCCACGTGGGAGAGGATGATATTACTCTCAATATCACAGGGGTTGTATACCCCGCCTGTGATATTTTTCCTACTATCCAGAATAAGAGAGAATGATATTACTCCCAATAGTGCAGGTGGTGTACCCCCCCACCTTCCACCATGTGATATTGTTCTCAAGAGCTAAAGAAAGAGAAGAGAATATTATTCTCTGTACTGCAGGTGGTGTACACCCACCTGTGATACTGTTCTTAATATCCAGGGAGGGAAGAGCATGAGATTACCCTCAATATCGCCGTGGGTGTACACCCACTATGTGATATTGCTCCTAATATCCAGGGGGTAGAGTAGGACATTACTCCCAATATAACAGTGGGTGTACATCCACCCGGAGATATTGCTCCTAATATTCAGGGAAGCCGAAAATGATGTTACTCCCAATACCGCAGAGAGTGTACAACCCTTCTGTGATACTGTTCCTAGTATCCGGAGGGGGAGAGGATGATATTACTTTCAATATCGCAGGCTGTGTACACCCATCCTGTGATATTGTCCCTAAAATGCAGGAAGGGAGAGGACCGCATTACTTTCCATAGAGTAGGAGGTGTACACCCACGCTGGGATTTTGTTCCTAATATCAAGGGGGAGACAGCGTAATATTACCCCAATATGGCAGGGGGTGTACATCCCCCCTGAGATATTGTTCTTGCCATTCAGAACAGGAGAGGATGACATTACTCCAGATATGGAAGAAAGTGTAAACCCCCGTGTGATATTGTTTCTAATATCCAGAAAGAAAGAAAAGGATATTAATCCCCATATCGCAGGAGGTGTACACCCACTCTGATATTTATCCAAATATGCAGAGGGGAAAGAGGATAATAATATTCCCAATATCGCAAGGGTTCTGCAACCCCATGTGAGATGGTCCTTCATAATATTCCAAGGCAAAGGGGATGATATTACCACATATATCGCAGAAAACGTACACCGCCCAAGGATATTATTCCCATGATCCTGGAGGGAAGAGGATGATATTACTTTAAATATCACAGAAGGTGTACAAGCCGCCACTGATATTGTTTCTAATTTCAACGTGGAAGAGGAGGATGTGACACCCAATATTGCAGGGAGTAGAAACAGTCCTGTGATACTGTTCTTAATATTCAGGGAGGACGAGGACGATGTTACTCCCAATAGAGACGGATGTACAAGGTCTGTGCACCGATGGTGTACACTCGTCTGTGAAATAGATCATAATTTCCAGAGGCGGAGATGATATTACTCACGATATCGTAGACAGGCTGTGAGTCCACTAATGTGGGCCGTAATAGCCAGGGCGGGAGGGGGGGTGGCTATTCCTCCCCGCATCGCGAGGGGCGGCCTCATCCCCCTGCGATGTGTACCGTAATAGCCAGGGGGGCAGGGGGTGGCTATTGCTCCCCATATCATCACCCCCCTGCGATGTATATCCATTATTAGCGGTCTTTTTCCCCGATATTCGGAACAATTTCATGGGGTTTGCCTACATAGCCTGAGATATGAAAACTGATATCATCCTCTGCACCTCCGGATATTAGGAACTATATCACACAATGGGTGTACACTTTTTGTGAGATTTGGGCTAATCTCTTCCTGTGTTTCCCTGAATATTCGGAGAAATATCACAGGGCGGATGTCCTTCCACTACTCTCTTGGGAGGAGCATCGTACTTTACCTACTGGAAATTGGGAGCAATATCGCAGATGGGCTGTCAAGCCACTGTCATATTTGAAATAATATCATGCTCTCCCCCACCAGTTATGAGGAACAATATCACAGGAGTGTATGTACCTTCTCCGGTATTGGGAGTAATATCATCATCTCTTCCTTCAGATGATAGGGACTATATCACAGGGTGGGTGTACACCCCGTGTATTTTTGGAAGCAATGTCATTCTCTGTTCTTCCAGATTTTAAGATTCATCTCACAGGCGGGGTGTACACCCCTTGTTATATCTGATGTAATCTCATCCTCTTTCAACCTGTATATTTAGAACAATATCCCATGGGGGCTGTACATCTCTTCAATATTGGTAGTAATACCATCTTCTCCTTTCCTGGATATAAGAAACAATATCACAGGAGGGGTGTACACCCCTTGCAATATTGGGAGTATTATCACCTCTCCCCATGTGGTTATTAAGGACAAAATCCCAGGGTGGCTGTACAGTTCCTACGTTATTGGGAGTAATATCATCCACTCACCCCCTGGATATCAGGAACCATATCACAGAAGAGGTGTACACCCCCTTCGATATTGTCAGCAATGTCATCCTCTTCCCACTTGGATATTAGGAACACTACCCCGGGGTTGGGGGCGGTGTACACCCACTGCAATATCGAAAGTAATATCAGCCTCTTTCCCGCTGGATATTAGGAACTGTATCACAGGTGTATGTGTGCACCTTCTGGGATATTGGGAGTAATATCAGCCTCTACCCCGCTGCATATTACAAACAATATATGGGGGGCAAGGCGGTTACACCCCCTGCGATATTGAGAGTCATATTATTCTCTTTTCCCTGTACATTAGGAACTATATCAGAGGGGTCTGTACACCTTCTGTGGTATTGGGATGAATGTTATCCTCTCCCCCACTGAATAGCAAAAACAATATCACAGAAGGGTGTACACCCCTTGCGATATAGCCAGTAATATCATCGTCTCTACTTTTGGATACTAGGAACAACATCACAGAGGGTGTGTACATCCCCTGCAATATTGGGCATAATGTTATCCTCTCTTCCCCTGGATATGAGGAACAATATCCCTGGTTGGGGTGGGGGGTGGAGTACATTACGAACAATATCACTGGGTGCGTGTACACCCCCTGCTATATTGGGTGTAGTATCATCCTCTCTTCCCTAGGATATTAAGAACAATATCACAGGAGGGGTGTACATCCCCTGTGATATTGGGCATAATGTCATCGTCTCCCAACGTGGATATTGGGAACAATGTCACAGGGGGGTGTACACCTCCTTCCATATCGGGAGTAATATCATCCTCTCCCCTCAGGATTGTAGGCAAAATATCGAAGGGGTTTTACAACTCGTGCGATATGGGCAGTAATATCATCCTCTCCCCACCTAGACATTAGGAACTATGTCACAGGCGACTGTACACTTCTTGCGATATTGGGAGTAATATCATCCTCTCCCATCATGGATATTAAGAAGAATATTACAAAGGAGGTGTACACCCCCTGCGATATGGAGAGTAATAGTATGCTCTCCCCTTCAGGATATTAGGAACAATATCGCAGGAGGTGTGTAGAACCCCTGCGATATTGGGAGTCATATCATCCTCTCCCCCTGAATATAAGAAACAATATCACAGGAGGATGTACACCCCCTGCGATATTGGGAGTAATATCATTTTCTCCCCCTCGGGATATTCGGAACAATATCACAGTGGGTGTGTATACCCCCTGCGATACTGCCACTAGTATCATCGTCTCCCTCCCAGCATATAAGGAACAGTATCACAAGGGGGTGTACACCCCTGCGATGTTAGGGGTAATATCTTTCTGAGAAAGGCTTAGAATTGGCAATAAAACTACAACCACGACCAAAATAATACTGATGCTATCTCAGAATTACCTTGCATTTTACCTGTGTTAACTTGTTTAGCCCTCCAACAAATTGCTGAGTTGTCCTCCCATTTTAAAGCTGAGCACGAATTAGTGGACCATCCCCTTCCAGAACTGAGGCTTTGTGGCTTGGGTCGCCAGTGGAGCAGCCCAGTGTCTGGCTGCAGCGAGCCTCTGCTTCGATGCTTGGCCCTGCCAAGGCGGTGGAGCCGGTCGGTGAAAATAGCTGCACACTGGCTGCCCAATGTCCACCTCACTCTTCTCCTCTGTGTATATCCTAGGCGTACCGTGGATTCACCTTCACCATCCTCTGAGCCCTGGGTGGCTGCACCAACTGGCCCTTCCACGGCACTGTGTCTGCTCACAGGTGTCCCAGGAACAGCCATTTCATAGAGCAGTTGGGCTCCTATGGTCCACTGCCCAACAGTCATTAAGAGCAACTCGTTCCCCTCAACCTGGAGAGGATCCGGCATTGGGTTGGCTGTGGGGCCCGCCTATGGAAAAGCTTCTCGGTCTTTCTGGCTTTTTTCCCCTGCATTCTATGCTGACCACAACTGCTGAGTGACTGCAAAGAAAACAGGCACATGAAGTTCTCTTAGCTTTTCAGAAAACAGATACAAAGGCTATAGGAACAGAAGTGAGTTCACTTCAGTGAGCAGAGCAGTGGGAACAAGACCAAGGGCTTCTCAAAATGCTTCTGCAGAGATCTTAATTTTGTTAGATTTAGAGGTCAATAAATGGAGTTTTCTGAGTCACTCGTGCTCTTCTGGCCTGGCCTGAGCAGGGCCCAGGGCAAGATTTACTTTTGTCTGACATAGAGCTGGGTCTTGGTACTAATGAGCTTTTTCAGACTTTGACTTGGGAAAGGCAGTGGCTATAAGCAGGATTGGACTTTTGGGTGGGGCCCTGGGTCTCTTGGACGAATTTACAATCTATTGCCTTCCAAGACTTTCTTCTTCAAAGCCCCAGTCAGACTGTTCATGGCCCATCCAAATCTTTCTATAACATTCATGGTCATCCCATAGCCCAAGGAGTTACTTGCTTATTGATTTTGTCATTGGAAACTGTATTGTTTTGCTTAACACATATCCTTAAATTTACAAAGGTAGATTTGTTATGAAAATTGCTTTGGGGCTGTCATAACCTACCTTTCAAGAATGAGAAACTTGGCGAGGTGCAGTGGCTCACACCTGTAAATCCAGCACCTTGGGAGGCCGAATTGAGAGGATTGCTTGAGCCCAGGAGTTTGAGATCAGCCTGGGCAGCATGGCACAAAACCCTGGCTCTACAAAAAAATACAAAAATTAGCTGAGGGTGGTGGCGCACGGCCGTGGTCCCAGCTACCCGGGAGGCTGAGGCAAGAGGATCACTTGAGTTTGGGAGGTTGAGGCTGCAGTGAACCAAGATCACACCACTGCACTCCAGCCTGGGTGATAGAGTGAGACCCTGTCTCAAAAAAAAAACCAGAAGCTGGAAGAAAACTAATATTGCAAAGCACTTACATAGATCCGAGGCCTTTTACATGCAAGGTTATTTGTGAGGATTATAAGGTATCATAAAGGCAGGTAGGGTTAGCTCCATTTTACAGATGGAGAAGCTGAGGCTTAGAGGTGAAAACTTGCCCAGCAATACAGGATTCAGACCCCAATAGGCCTACCTGGAAAGCCCTTCCCAACATATTATGCTGTTCATAGAGGGAAAAGATGAGCAAAGAATGGGGACTTTTCAAGAATTCACTTAGAATGTCAATGATAGAATCATGTGTGGGTATCTTGAGTTTGGCAATATAAATGACTAATTGTGCAGAAGCAAAATATCACATTTCCTGCTCCAGCAGAACTGCAGGATTCTCCAAACACAAGCGTGACTCACATGGTTGGAGTGCACACTCTGGATAATATAGATTTCAAATTCCGGCATATGATGAAGATATGAGAAATTTACTTATTTATTTATTTTGAGACAGGGTCTCGCTCTGTTACCCAGGCTGGGATGCAGTGACATGATCTTGGCTCACTGCAACCTCCACCTCCCGGGTTCAAGTGATCCTCCTGCCTCAGCCTCCCTAGTAACTGGGATTATAGGAGCCCACCACCACGTCTGGCTAATTTTTGTATTTTTAGTAGAGATGAGGTTTCACCATGTTGGCCAGGCTGGTCTCAAACTCCTGACCTCAGGTGATCCAACTATCTCGGCCTCCCAAAGTGTTGGGATTACAGGCGTGAGCCACCGCGCCCAGTCAGATAAGGGAAATTTATACAGGAGGTTATAAAGCCTTAACAATGTTCCAACATATTTTCTGGGTTTCCTGTTCTGAGAACAATTAGCAACCATCTCAAATTATGGGGTCACCAAAGCTCCCCAGTTTTGCTGCTGGTTGGCCTCTGGTTGCTTCGAGACTTTTTTTTTTTTTCCTGTCTCGCTCTGTCGCCCAAGCTGGAGTGCAGTGGTGTGATCTCAGCTCACTGCAAGATCTGCCTCCCAGGTTCACGCCATTCTCCTACCTCAGCCTCCCGAGCAGCTGGGACTACACGCGCCTGCCACCACGCCCAGCTAATTTTTTTTTTTTTTTTTTTTTTTTTTTCTGAGTGAGAGTCTTACTCACTTTGTTGCCCAGTCTGGAGTGCAGTGGTGTGATCTTGGCTCACTGAAACCTCCGCCTCCCAGGTTCAAGTGATTCTCCTGCCTCAGCCTCCTGATTAGCTAGGACTACAGGCGTGCACCACCATGCCCAGCTAATTTTTGTATTTTTGGTAGAAACGGGGTTTCGCCATGTTAGCCAGGCTGGTCTCTAACTCCTGATGTCAAGTGATCTGCCTGTCTCCGTCTCCCAAAGTGCTGGGATTACAGGCGTGACCCACCACACCCAGCCTCTTCAAGGAGACTTTGAAGCCTCTGGAGAGGACCTACAGGGCCCAGTTTGGACATGAGCATCTCCAGCCCAGGGAAGGGCTCAGTGAAGAAACCCCACTGAGCATGGGCCAGTCCCCCAAGGTGGTGCAGCTCTGTGGATTTCTCCTGGGCATCCCCTTTTCCCCTTTCAGACTCCTCCAGGTTGTTTGGCCTGGGAGCTGACGATGTGAGTGCATTTTTCATTGCAATGAGATCTTAGGGCTCTGCAAGACTTTGACAGAAGAGTCAGGCCTGTGAGTGCTGTCAGACCCTGGCCTGGAAGGTCTGGGGTCTCCCTGGTGTGCAGAGGGCAGGTCTTCACCACATGACGGCGCTTCACAGCCTGGGAAGGGCGTGTCTATCGTTGCGTTTTTAATTTGCATTTGCTTACTTATAAATTATATACTATCACACTCGTCTTTAAGCAAAGAAAAAAGAAAAAGAAATACAAATTACAGTCACACACTGCATAATGATGTTTTGGTCAAAGATGGGTAACCCATAAAATTATAACGGGTTTTTTTTGTTTTTTTTTTTTTTGAGATGGAGTCTCACTCTGTCACCCAAGCTGGAGTGCAGTGGTGCGATCTCAGCTCACTGCAACCTCTGCCTCCCAGGTTCAAGTGATTCTGGGCCTCAGTCTCCCAAGTAGCTGGGATTACAGACATGCGCTACCACGCCTGGCTAATTTTTGTATTTTAGTACAGATGGGGTTTCACCATGTTGGCCAGGTTTGTCTCAAACTCCTGACCTCAAGTGATCCGCTGGCCTTGACCTCCCAAAGTCCTGGGATTACAGGTGTAAGCCACGGTGCCCAGCCCATTTTAATCTTTTATATCATATTTTTACTGTCCCTTTTCTATATTTAGAGATGTTTAGATACACAAATACTTACCATTGTGTTACAGTTGCCTGCAATATTCAGTACAAGCACATGCTGTACAGACCTGTAGCCTAGGACCAATGGGCCATACCACGTAGCATAGGCATGGAGTAGGCCAGACCACCTAGGTTTGTGTAAATATACTCTATGATGTTTGTGAAATGATGAAATTGCCTAAGGATGCATTTCTTAGAATGTGTCCCCTTCGTTAGGTGAGGAATGACTGTACTAATGAGGTTGAGCATCTTTTTAAATATTAACTGGCCATTGGATATCTTCGTTTGTGAAGTACCTATTTCAAGTTTCTCATCCACTTTTCTATTGGACTATACATCTTCTTCTTACTAATTATAGGAATTCTTCACATTTGCTGGAAATGGACCTTTTGTGGATCAAGGGACTATTCAGTAACGAGAGTAAAGGAGGAGAGTGGAGAGTGGTGGGGGGCCTCTCATCAGGCCATAGAAACCACAGAAAAAGTCCTCGGCCTTAGCCTGAGAGCCATGGTGCCCTGGAGAAGGGTTTTTCTTACCATCTGACTATTCTGTTCTCTTCAAGACTGACAGCACTGGTGTCATTTGGGAGTTCGGTTAGAAATACAGAATTCCGGCTGGACACGGTGGCTCATGCCTATAATTCCAACACTTTGGGAGGCTGAGGCGGGCGGATCATTTGAGGTCAGGAGTTTGAGGCCAGCCTGACAAACATGGTGAAATCCTGTCTCTACTAAAAATACAAAAAAAAGTAGTCGGGCATGGTGGCACGCACCTGTAGTCCTAGCTACTTGGGAGGCTGAGGCAGGAGAATTGCTTGAACCCAGAAGACAGAGGTTGCAGTGAGCCGAGATCACACCACTGCACTCCAGCCTGGGAGACAGAGCAAGACTCCATCTCAAAAAGAAAAAAAAAAGAGAGAAATCGAGACCATCCTGGCTAACATGGTGAATCCCTGTCTCTACTGAAAATACAAAAATTAGCTGGGCATGGTGGCATGAGCCTGTAATCCCAGCTACTTGGGAGGCTGAGGCAGGAGAATCGCTTGAACCCGAGAGGTGGAGGTTGCAGTGAGCCGAGATCCCACCACTGCACTGCAGCCTGGGCAACAAGAGCAAAACTCTGTCTCAAAAAAAAGAAAAAAAAAAAAGAAAAAAGAAATACGGAATTCCAGGCCCTGTCCTGTCCAAGACCTCCTGAAACACAATCAGCAATTTGATAAGGTCTCCAGGGAATGATTTACACGGTAAAATCTGGGAAGTGCTGGTTTGTCAAGAACCTTCAGGATCACATCTGTGCTCTTCACAAACATCGCTTGGATTAAAAAGGGGGGAAGGGGCAGAGCCGTCCATGGTTACAGTTCTGTTCCAAGATAAATATACGCTTTCCTCTGCGCTGATTTTTTTCTGATGAGAAGACCAGAATATTTATGCAACTCCCTTGAGTAGTTATATATTTATAGGGGCAGGCAGTGGTCAACAGTGGCCCGAACCATTGGACTCCTTGCTCAAAACTGCCTCAGCTCATCTGCCTGAAATTCCAGTTACTGTCATGTTGTGGGGACCCATATAGGAACAAAACGTGGACTACTCGAGAGGTAGCTACCCTGCGCCCACAGACTGTGACAACGGAGGGTGACCCAGGTAAGTACTTCAATCGAATGAACTTTAATTTCCTTGGCTACACAATGCGAGTAACACAAATGCGCTTCCCTTACAATGCTATTTTGAGTGGTACATGAGAAAATGGATGTCAAGTCTTTTTTTCATTAAATGATATGTCAGTCAAAAGATGAGTGTGGATGGTGGTTACCATGGGTGGTGGACTTGAAATGACCTGTGTTCACTTCCTTTTACTTATCGAAGTGTCAACATTTGTTATCAAGAACATGCAAAACGTATGCATATGCAGGTTTTGAATAAAAAGCTAATGCGATATAATCTTTGTCAGTATCTAGATATATTCTAAAAAGCAAAGCTAAGATAGTATTATGAATCAAAATGTCTTTTCTTCTGTGCTCTGAAGAACTAATAGCATGCCAAAAAAATCATACTAAGGTATAAAACACACAAAATTTTCACACACACACACACACACACACACTTCTTCTGAGAGTTTCTATTTTCATGGCTATTGTAGGCGCCAGTCTGTTGTTTCTGTGCTGAATGTTCTAGAAAGTCTGAAGCCAACATACTTGGTCGCTCAAGAAATTCCTTTGTTTTATCTGAAATCTAGTAACTTCATTACATTTTCCCTGCTGCCACCATTCAGCAACCATTTTTCCTGGGACCTAGTGTGCTCTTTTATATCTAGAAATATTTCTTCAATTTTATCTTTAAATATTTGTTCTGTTTACATTTTCCAGTTTTCTTCTTTGGGGATTCCAAGGAGCATATGTTGGCATTAGCAAAATTCCTATTTATTCCATATGTTTTTGCTAAACTTTTTTCAGCACTTTATTTTCACTTCATCCCTGTCTTCTATATCTTTTTTTTTAATAGTGTCTGTTTTCTCTTGTATAAAATCCAATGAGCATTGATTTTTTTGTAATGACTTTATTTTTCTCTTCTCTTCTTTCCTAAGCTCCACCAGCTTCCATGTGCTTTCCTCCTGTTACCTTGCCATGTTTCCTCTGAGCCCTCACATCTCTGTTTTATGCTCTTGCATTGTAGGGGAAATTCCTTCACTAACTTTAACAAAATTAATTACAGAAGAATGATAGTTTCCATCAGCTTGCTGGCAGCATGTTTCTGGTGAGTGTTCTTTATCTGCTCTTTGTTTTTGTTGTTGTTGCTGTCTGCCTTTAGGTCTTTCTTTCTTTCTCTTTTTTTTTTTTTTTTTTTTTTTTTTTGAGACAGAGTCTTGCTCTGTTGCCCTGGCTGGAGTGCAGTGCTGTGATTATGGCTCACTGCAGCCTCAACATCCCAGGCTCTCAAACGATCCTCCTGCCTCAGTCTCCCAAGTAGCTGGACTACAGGTATGCACCACTACACCTGGCTAATTTTTTTTCTTTTTTATTCTTCTTTTTTTTTTGTAGAGACAGGGTCTCACTTTGTTGTCCAGGCTGGTCTTGAACTTCTGGGCTCAAGTGATCCTCCCGCCTTGGCCTCTTGAAGTGTTAGCATTACAGGTGTGAGCCACCTCACCCAACCCCTTTTTGTCTATATACTTAAATGCCTATAAATGTGTATATATATACATATATATGTACACACACACACATATATATATATTCGTTTTAATTGTAGTGAAATATATATAACCTGAAATTTTCTATTTCAAGCATTGTTAAGGGTACAGGTCAGTGGCATTAGGTATATTCACATTGTTGTGCAGCCATGGCCACCAACATCCACAGAACTCTTGTCCTCTTGCAAAACTGAAACTTTGCCCCAAGTAAACAATAACTCCTCATTCCCCTCCCCCAGCCCCTGGCAACCACGACTCTGCTCCCTAGCTTCATGAATTTGACTACCCTAAGAATCCCATATAAGGGGAATCCTACGGCGTGTGTCCTTTTGTGAGTGGCTTATTTCACCTAGCAGAATGTCTTTAAGGTTCATCCATGCTGTAGCATGGGTCAGAACTTCCTTCTGGCCAGGCGCAGTGGCTCACGCCTGTAATCCCAACACTTTGGGAGGCCAACGTGGATGGATTACCTGAGGTCAGAAGTTCAAGGCCAGACTGGCCAACGTGGTGAAACCCCATCTCTATTAAAAATAAAAAAATATTAGCCGGGCATGGTGGCACATGCCCGTAATCCCCAGCTACTTGGGAGGCTGAGGCAGGAGAATCGCTTGAAGCCGGGAGTGGGAGGTTGCAGTAAGCCAAGATCACGCCATTGGCACTCCAGCCTGGGCAACAAGAGTGAAACTCTGTCTCAAACAACAACAACAACAAAAAAAGCAAACAAACAAAAAAGACTTCCTTCTTTCTTGAGGAGGAATAATAGTTCATGATGTGTATATATCACCTTTTGGTCATCCATTCATCCATCAATGGACAGTTGGCTTGTTTCCACATTTTGGCTATTGTGAGTAATTCTGCTATAACCATTGTTATACAAATATCTCTTTGAGACCCTGCTTTCAATTCTCTTGGGTATATATATACCCAGAAGTGGAATTGCTGGATCATATGTTAGTTTTATTTTTAATTTTTTGAGGAACCACCCTGTTGTTTTACACAAGGTGAAAAACGTGTTGTTTTTTATGGACCAGCTATCTTACACAGCAGCTGCATTATTTTCCACTCCCACCGGCAATTCACAAGCATTCCAACTTGTCCACAATATATATTTCACCATGTTTTTCCTTCCTTCCTTCCTTCCTTCCTTCCTTCCTTCCTTCCTTCCTTCCCTCCCTCCCTCCCTCTCTTCCTCCCTTCCTTTCTTCCTTCCTTCCCTCACGGAGTTTTGCTCTTGTCGCCCAGGCTGGAGTGCAGTGGCATGATCTCAGCTCACTGCAACCTTTGTCTCCCAGGTTCAGGTGATTCCCCTGCCTCAGCCTCCCAAGTAGCTGGGATTACAGGTATGCACCACCACACCTGGTTAATTTTTGTATTTTAGTGGAGACGGGGTTTCGCCATGTTGGCCAGGCTGGTTTTGAACTCCTGACCTCAGGTGATCTACCTGCCTCAACCTCCTAAAGTGTTGGGATTACAGGTGTGAGCCACCGCGCCCAGCCTTCTGTTGTTGTTGTGTTTTGTTGTTGTTGTTGCTGTTTGTTTGTTTTTTGAGACAGGGTCTCACTCTGTCACCCAGGCTGGAGTGCAGTGGTGCTATCATGGCTCACTGCAGCTTCAACCTCCTGGGCTCAAGTGATCCTCCCATTTCAGCCTCCTCAGTAGCTGGGACACAGGCATGTGCATCATACCTGGCTAATTATTTTATTTTATTTTTGTGGAGACAGGGTCTCTCTATGTTGCCCAGCCTGATCTCAAACTCCTGGACTCAAATGATCCTCCTGCCCCAACCTCCCAAAGTGCTGGGATTACAGGCATGAGCCACCACACCCGGCTCATTTTTATTTTTCGGTAAGAGTCGTCTGCATAAGTGTGAAGTGGTATTTCATGTGGTTTTCAAAATAATTATTATTTTTTAATTTTTTGTGGAGACAGAGTCTCACTATTGTTGCCCAGGTTGGTCTTGAACTCCTAGCCTCAAGTGATCCTCCCACCTTAGCCTCCCAACATGTTGGGATTACAGGCATAAGCCACCGTACCTAACCTCGTTGTGGTTTTGATTTGCATTTTCCTAATGATTAGAGGTGTTGGGCATCTTTTCACATGCTTATTGGCACATATTGGGAGAAATATCTATTCACATCCTTTGTCCATTTTAAAAATTGGGGGTTTTTTGTTATTAATTTTTTTTGTGTAGACCTTGTGTTGATGGCTTTTCTTCTTTTCATGGACCAGCTATTTATGGAAAATTAAATAGAAAAAAGCCAGGGCTGTGTTCTAGGCTAGCAGAACTGTTCTTTATGACCTGGGCCTTCTACCTGAATTTCTAGTATATATTTCTCCCCAGCAATGGAATTGGCAGTTTTCAGATTGTTCACAAGGTGGAGTCTTTTCCCCTCTCTGCCTCAAAAACAAACTGCTTCCTACAAATATGGCTTGTCTCACTGTGTTTCCTCATTTAGTCCTATCGTCACTGCTTTGTGGAACCAATCCGGATTCACTGCCAACCTGTACACCTTAGTGGATTCACTGCCAACCTGTACACCTTAGTCTTACTATTTTGAACACAGCATTCTATTGTTGCACTTTGGGAACACCCATTGCCTTGAAGAGAGGCTTTTCTTTTCTCTGAAATTTGCAGTTATCAACATCTTCTCTCCTCTTCCTCCCAAAGCCCTGCTCATTCCCATTGCTTTTGGCATCCTTTTAATCTAGTTTATCTATTTTCCCTCGTCTCTAATAGATGGTATTTGCTTCATTTTCCTTGTTGCTTATGGGTAATTTTTGAAAGAAGAGAAATTGAGAATGTGATCCATTCATGTTCAAACCAGAAGTCTTTGCAAGCACTTCTGAGAGTTGCTGTACTATGATGGAGATAGCGAGAGGCTTGACAGCGAAAGAAACAGATGCTGGGGTCCCTCCCTGCACCCTCTCTCTGGGGTAGCTTCCTCTGAGTTATTCCTCAACCCCTCCACCTACCATTGGTGTTTCCCAGCTCCAGCCTCAGTGCTCTTCTCCCCTCTAAGCTCTCCATCCTCCGTGGATTTTATCTGTTTACGAATTCCCATCTCGGAGTCACCAGGCCTCAGCTCCGTATGGCGCCCCGCCACTCATCGCCTCTCTGAATGACTGTGGGGTCGGTTTTCTTCTTTAGGAGGGGAAGCTGCCTCTCTTCCGGCCTAGGATCCATTGTCATCTGCAGAGAGAGAAGTGCCAAGGGATCCTCAGAGATACCATGACTGCAGCACCAACCAAAATCCACCCAGGTAATCCTCTCCTGTTCAGTAAATTCTCTTGACCCCAGCTCACTGTCCCCACCTACAACGGGAGATGCTAGAGATTATGAAGTGACTTGAGGCACTGGATGTGGCTGATCCTGGGTCCGAAAGTGAAGGTGAGGAACTAAAGTCCCTTTCTTGCCCTATCTCCCATGAGATTCTGCTCACACTCCTCCTACAATTAGAGACCTCTCATCCTGGGTTCCTTAGCTGTGGTGACTGTATTTCATGAACCTCAGATCCAGATACATACTCAAGTCAGAATACAACATCTGTGTTGGCCGGGCGCGGTGGCTCAAGCCTGTAATCCCAGCACTTTGGGAGGTCAAGGCAGGTGGATCACTTGAGGTCAGGAGTTTAAGACCAGCTTGGCCAACATGGTGAAACCCCGTCTCTACTAAAAACACAAAAATTAGCCAGGCGTGGTGGTGCGCACCTGTAATCCCAGCTACTTGGAAGGCTAAGGCAGGAGAATCGCTTGAACCTGGGCGGCGGAGGTTGCAGTGAGCTGAGACCATGCCACTGCATTCCAGCCTGGATGACAGAGCAAGATTCTGTCTCAAAAAAATAAAAATAAATAAAAATCTGCGTTATCCCTCTGGGCCCTGCAACTCTTAATGGGTCCAGTTTTGTGGTCAGTCCAGGCACTGTTATCTGGTTGTGTGGTTGAGAATTCCAGAAGTGCCTAGATTTGTTTTTGGCCCAGCCATGCCTTCTCACTATGTGGCCCTCGAGGGAGATATTAGCATGAGGGACAATGGCAAACAGTAGTAGCAGAAAAGGACAATGCCTCGTTTTACCCTTCTGGCTTGGGGCTGACTCTCCAGAGCAGAGCTCTCTGGCAGAATGGACTGAACTACCTGGCTTAGGTCTACGTGAGCCTCTCCCTGCCTCTAAAACCAGACTCCAAGTTCAGGATCGCTGTGTCCTCCAGCAATGAATGCAGGGTGTCCGACTGAGAAGAGTTGAGAAAGCAAGATAAATGAACTGGGGCCAGTGGATCCCTTCTTCCGTGTTGAGAGAGGAGGCAGGAGAGAGGAGCAAGCTCCTTGCATCTGTGTGTGATCCCTGAGCACAGTGGCCACAGCCTCCACTGAAGGTGGCCTCCTGGGTGTCTTGTAATGGAAACCACTCAGAAGAGTCTAACGCCCTGTTTGGGAGACGTGAGTCAAAGCAGGGGGAGAAGGGTAGTTCTTTCTCGCTCTCAGTGTGATATTCTGAGCTTTCTCATGGAAGATGCATTTTTAAATTATCAGAAATTGATCGATTATGAAATATGATGATTCGTGAAACATCTGTGTACATAATCAAACACAAGATGATGTTGTTTGACCTCTCATCCTATGCATAAAGCACAAAAGTTGCATAGGAGATGAATTTAACTGGAAGGGAACTATGAGCCCATTTCATGGACAGACCCAGAACCTGTCCAGTGGTTCTCCCACTCCCGCTATATGATCATCCTCTGCCTTTGCTGGGTCTCAGCCCTGCTCACTCCCTTCTTGCCTCCTCCCCAAAATAAAGTCTAATAGAGTCATCTCCCAAGATCTATTCTAGCCCAGGACAGCAGGGAGAGCTGAGCAAGATTTTAAACATAAAAAACTTAGTGTCAGCTGGGCGTAGTGGCTCAGGACTTTAATCCCAGCACTTTGAGAGGCTGAGGTGGCCAGATGGATCACCTGAGGCCCAGGAGGTTGACAGCCTGGTCAACATGGTGAAACCCCGTCTCTACTAAGAATGCAAAAATTAGCTGGGCGTGGTGGTGCACACCTATAATCCCAGCTACTCGGGAGACTGAGGCAGGAGAATCGCTTGAACAAGGGAGGCAGAGGTTGCAAAGCCGAGATCGTGCCACTGCACTCCAGCCTGAGCCACAGAGCAAGACTGTGTATCAAAAATTAAATAAATATATACATACATACATAAAAAAACAAAACTTAGTGTCATGAATGATGAGGTCTTATTCTAAGTGTTGTTCTGTATCTGTCATTTACTGGGTATACACAGAGTAGGCAGGAAAGCGCAGATAACACACATCTCTGCCTTCAAGGTGAAGCTCCGGGCTGCCACAATAAACCACTCACTGCATCAGCTGAAACCTCTGCACTGTACCTATCTATGTAGAGCATAGGAAGAGAGCAAAGAAATAAAAAGCAGAATGCCTAAAATAATGGGACAAATCAAAGTTGAATAATTATAACAAAAAATAATTAATATGAATATGAATAACATTAAGAAAAGTATCAAATTGGGTCAAAATCAGATCTGAGTAATTTTCTACATCCAAGAGATAACCTGAAATAAATAGGACACAAAAGGCCAAAATAACAAGTTAGAAAAACTTACATAGAACCAACAAAAAAAGAAAACAATATTAACATTTAACAGTATTAATTTGTCAGATTTTGTCTTACCATGTACTTGGCAGCATTCCCTGCACCAAATGCATTACTGTACAAGTGGGAGATTTTATGATAAAATAATGAATAATAAATCTCATTACTAAAATCTTTTTATTCTATTGGCTTTTTGTTGTTGTTGAGACAGAGTCTCGCTCTGTCACCCAGGCTGAAGTGCAGTGGTGCAATCTCAGCTCACTGCAACCTCCGCCTCCCGGGTTCAAGAGATTCTCCTGCCTCAGCCTCCTGAGTAGCTGGGATTACAGGTGCCCACCACCACGCCTGGCTAATTTTTGTATTTTTAGTAGAGACTTGTTGGCCAGGCTGGTCTCGAACTCCTGATCTCAGGTGATCCACCTGCCTCAGCTTCCCAAAGTGCTGGGATTACAGGCGTGAGCCACCGTGCCTGGCTTCTATTGGCTTTTATTATAAAACTAACAAGTTACTTTGGTAACAAAGCTCAATAATATAGATGAGTGAAAAGTGCAAAAGTATTTTGTCACCCTAGCCCTAAATCTCCCTCCCTGAGCTAAGCCTGTTCACATTTGGTGTATCTCCTTCGAGAATATTCCCCTACTCCTACATCACATATATAGTACTTAAAAAAAATAAGAAAAGAATATAAAGAACATATTCTTCAACCTCTTTTCTTTTACTTAATATATCCTGGACCTCTTTCTAGGTCAGTTGTACATAGATTTGCCTCGTTCCTTTTCACATCCATAAACCTTTATTTTGTATTGCTCTATTTTCATGTAAACAGTCCCCGGCATGGATTTTTCAAATTGTTTCCATTTCTTTATACAACTTCAAATAACTGGATGAACATCCATACACGTTTGTCTGTTGTGTTGTGTTGTGCCGTTGTGTTGTGTCCGTGGTGGGTGTATTTCTAGAGGTGGGATGCTGAGTGTCAGGCACATGTACTTCTCATGTTAAGAGACATCCCAAGAAGGCCAGGTGCAGTGGCTCACACCTGTAATCCTAGCACTTTGGGAGGCCAAGGAGGGTGGATTGTTTGAGCTCAGGAGTTAGAGATTAGCCTGGGCAACATGGTGAATCTCCATCTCTACAAAAAAAAAAAAAATATATATATATATATATATTAGCTGGGTGTGGTGGTGCACACCTGTAGTCCCCGCCACTTGGGGGGCTAAGACAGGAGGATCACTTGAGCCCGGGAGGTTACTGCAGTGAGCCGAGATTGTGTCACTGCACTCCAGCCCAGGTGCCAAAATGAGACCATCTCCAAATGAAAGAAAAAAAAAAAAGAAAGATACCCTAAATCATCCTTCCAAAAGCCATAGCAGCTGAGCGCAGTGGCTCACGCCTGTAATCCCAGCATTTTGAGAGGCCAAGGCGGGCGGATCACCTGAGGTCAGGAGTTTGAGACCAGCCTGGCCATCATGGTGAAACCCTGTCTCTACTAAAAATACAAAAATTAGCCAGGCATGGTGGCAGGCACCTGTAATCCCAGCTACTCAGAAGGCTGAGGCAGAAGAGTCAGTTGAACCTGGGAAGTGGAGGTTGCAGTGACTGAGACTGCACCACTGCACTCCAGCCTGGGCAGCAGAGAGAAGCTCCATCGCAAAAAAAAAAAAAAAGAAAGAAAAGAAAAGAAAAAAAAATAGGTGAGGACTGGGAGAGACAGGTTTCAGGCATGGAGAAGGGAGTCATATTTATTAATCATATTATAAGCTTAAATTTTAAAAAATCTAAAGCATGCCATGTGGCAAACAAGGAAATTTGCAAGTTCCCGGTTCCAAGGTGTTACCTGGTAAGTTCTTTTAAGCTTTCAGAAAACAAGCAATTCTCACGTTGTACAAATTGTCCCAGAAATAGAAAAAATACGTTACACTATTTTTTATACCCACCATATGCTATTGCTGGGTGGAGATATAGCAGATCCTTGGTTTTAATGAGGGAGATATCATGAGACCCTCTCAATTGCTCAGGTTTGAAAATACTACATCAAATAACTTCCTTTGTAAAGTTTAACTAAAAATGTAAAGTTTAACTAAAAACATAAGCAGCTCTTTAAGCCCCTGCTTGAAGCAGTGTGGCAGCGGGGAAGGGGTCAATCACTGGTTCCATTTCTGGTTAAAGTAGAGGCAGCAGGCAGGACAAGGTGGCGACATTATCAAAGAACTCATCTGGATATCAAAACTGTTATGACCCCAAAGCACGGTTGGGCGCAGTGGCTCATGCCTGTAATCCCAACACTTTGGGAGGCCAACATGGGCAGATCACTTGAGGCCAGGAGTTCAAGACCAGCCTGGCCAACATGGTGAAACCCTGTCTCTATTAAAAATACAAAAAATTAGCCAGGCTGGTAGTGCACACCTGTAGTCCCGTTACTCGGGAGGGTGAGGCAGGAGAATTGCTTGAACTGGGAGATCGCGCCATTGCACTGCAGCCTGGACAACAGACAGAGACCCCGTCTCAAAAAAAAAAAAAAAAAAAAAAAAGACGCCAAAGTGCCATGATAAGGGAGTGTTTCTATAAACATGACAATACATCTTCTCTTAAGGAAATAGCATAGAGTCATCAAAAATAATAGTTATAACAACTGTATAGCAAGATGGAAAATACTTGTATAACATTACATTTTAAAAACAGGGCACGTGGCCAGGCACAGCGGCTCATGCCTGTAATCCCAGCACTTTGGGAGGCCAAGGCAGATGTATCACCTGAGGTTGGGAGTTTGAGACCAGCCTGGCCAACATGGTGAAACCCCCATCTCTACTACAAATAGAAAACTTATCCAGGCATGGTGGTGCGCACCTATAATTGCAACAACTCGGGAGGCTGAGACAGGAGAATCACTTGAACCCAGGAGGCGCAGGTTGCAGTGAGCCGAGATCGCACCACTGCATTCCAGCCTGGGTGACAGTGAGACCGTCTCAAAAATAATAATAATAATAAATAATAATAATAAATAAAAACAGGACACACCATTATAAGTATAAAAGCCATGCGAAAAATAATACGGATTTGAAAAATAACGGGAAGTAGAGAATGAAATCAATAGTTATGTTGCAGGAGAACTAGGGGTGATTTTTGTCAAATTATATTTTTTGTCAAATTTGACTATCTTTTTGTCAAATTATATTGAAAATACATTTAAAGTGATTTTTGAGCAACAAAAGAAGCTGCAATGTGAGAGAGAGTGTCTGAACAAGGTGGACTCTGCTGTGTTGCCTGCCTGGGTAAAACCAACCACCATCCCGCCCACGAGCCTTGTCATCAGGCAGGTGTCATTCAGCAGGGACTGGACTGTGCCTCTCTCAGGGCTATAGATGATAGGCACTGGACAGAATGAGCGTTCACTTGCTCCCAAGTTAAAAATGTTATCAATTAACATGGCCCCGATTGTCTTGGTGCCTATCATTGTGTTGTTGGATGATTCTCAGAAGACTTTTGTGACTTAACGAAATGGGAAAAGTTCCCTTATCCCCCTTGCACAGTATAAAACGGGGTGTGGCTCACTTCTTCGGTGCCCTGCGGCTCAAACCCCTAGGGGGAGCATGCGGACCGGCAGGTCTTGGGGAGCGTGGGCTCCGACCCCACAGCAGCCCCATCTAGGGTTGAGTGTTTGCAGCTCCCGAGCCCCAGTGAGCTTATCGGAAGGACAAAGCAGAGGGTCTAATTTCTGTACTCCAGGGTTCTAACCCTAGTATGCCAGAAAAATTGGATCACACGTGGGCTTGGAGAGTGAGTGCAAGGTTTTATCGAGTGTAGTTCTCAGCAGATGGATGGGGAGCCAGAAAGGGGATGGAGTGGGAAGGTGGTCTTCCCCTGGATTTGGGCCACTCAGCGGTTCTCCTCCAACTGCCTTTGGCTAAATTCCATGTCATTCAGCCGTGGATGACCTGTCAGCATCCGCCGGTGTATTCTTCTTCCTGTGTGTTCCTCTCGATGTCCAGCTACTTGTGTGTGTCTGCCTGTTAGGTGGGGATATGGCGGGCCAGAGTGGTCTTAGAAAATGCAGCATTTGGGAGCGAAAGCAGAAATGCTTGTCCTCACTTAGATCCATGGGCCCAGGCCCGAGGGTGGAACCCTCACCGGGGACCATGCCTTTATGTAAGCAGCACTTCCCTGCCTGCTCCCATATCATTAACGTATAACGTCAACATTTCAAAAGTGCTTTACCAATCTACTTTGCCACTAGAAGCCTAAGCGATTTCCAGTTTTATTGCATCCTAGTCAACCTTGGGCATTCCCATGGTTTGTTTGTTTAAAATCATTAGACAAAAATCATGTGACATTTCTGAGACATTAAGATTTTTGTTGTATTCTTTTTTTTTTCTAATTCTCCAATATTGTAATTAGACAGCCAACTTTCCCGGAGCACTGTTATGTCTTTTCGGGCTGAGATGACTCAAGAAGAAATGTCCCTGATCCTTGTCCATCTCCAGGCTTGGGAGAAGGTTGTAAAGAAATGTGGCTTCGAAAGGTAATCTACGGAGGTGAGGTCTGGGGGAAGTCCCCAGAACCTGAGTTCCGTGAGGGCAGAGAACAGGCTGTTATGCTTATGGCCACAATCCCAGCATCCAAAACAGTGTCTGTCACAGACCCAGCACTCAATGAGTATTTGGGTTTTGTTTTGTTTTGAGACAGAGTCTCTTCTCTGTTGCCCAGGTTGGAGTGCAGTGGCACGATCTCGGCTCACTGCAACCTCTGCCTCCCAGGTTCAAGTGATTCTCCTGCCTCAGCCTCACGAGTAGCTGGGATTACAGGCGCCCGCCACCACGCCCGGCTAATTTTTATATTTTTTGTAGAGATGGAGTTTCCCCATGTTGGCCAGGCTGGTCTTGAACTCCTGATCTCAAATGCTCCACCCGCCTCGGCCTCCCAATGTGCTGGGATTAGAGGTGTGAGCCACCGTGCCCAGCTGTCAATAAGTATTTGAATGAAGGAATAAAATCTGATTGTTAATATCCAGATCTGTAGCCACCTTCATAGGATGAAACATACAAATGGGTTCCAACCAAGTTGGCTGAAGTGTTGCTCATGTTGTCTCATGTGCAATTGGAGATATGCAAAAAAGATAAAATGTACACATCCGCATAAAAAATATCTTAGTAAAAAAAATGTAAAACCTTTGGTAAGGGCAGGCACGGTGGCTCACGCTTGAAATCCTAGCACTTTGGGAGGCCAAGGTGGGCGGATCGCTTGAGGTCAGGAGTTCAAGGACAGATTGGCCAACATGGTGAAACGTCATTTCCACTAAAAATACAGAAATTAGCTAGGTGTGGTGGAGCATGCCTGTAATCCCAGCTACATGGGAGGCTGAGGCAGGAGAATTGCTTGAACCCGGGAGGCGGAGGTTGCAGTGAGCCAAGATTGCACCACTACTGCACTCTAGCCTGGGCGACAGAGCAGGGCTTCATTTAAAAAAAAAAAATCCTTTGGTAATGGTAAGTACATTGGTATACTGATAGATGCCCAGACACATGGCTTAGAGGGCAATGGAATCCTAGAAGCAGAATTTGCTGGTTTTCTCCCAATCCAGGAATATTCCTTCCTGGGTCTGCCTTCACCCTTTCCCAACCCATGATAATGTCTGAGTCTTGCCTTGAGATCCAAGCTCCTGGGACTTCCCTTTCCGTTGCCTTGGCCTGGGCATTCAGACTCTCCCACAGAGCTCAGCTGCAGCAATAGACTCACAACAAACTCTGCTGCCTAACAGAGGTTGCACTTAACTCTTGCCAAAGTGTCCATAAGGTTCTCTAAAGTGGGTTGCAATGCTCCCGCAATTTATAGCAACCAAATGCCTAAAGATAAAATCTTCATGCGTCATGCAAATGGGTTGCCTGCGCTTTCAGACACAGGTACAGTTATTGACTTCTCTGTGTCCTTGGCCCAGCCTCCCTCTACTGTTCTCTCTCCCACCTCCACTGTCAAGATTTCCCCCCAGTGCTCCCGTTAAGTCTGAGAAAGCTCCCCAAAAAAGGCATTGACTTTTCAGGCACAGGCACAGCCATTTTTCTTATCCGTGTCCTTGACTTTGGCTACTGGCCAATGCATGCTGCATGGACTGGAGTTAACAGGGGCCCTTCCTATGTGCTTGTACAATGTTAACCTCTCCTCCTTTGGTAAAGGGAAAGGGATGATTTTTCCTATCTTGGGGAAAATCAGCCAGTGGTTGAGGCAGACTAGAGGCTTCAGGAAATGGAGTCTCCCTCTGTCGCCCAGGCTGGAGTGCAGTGGCGCGATCTCGGCTCACTGCAACCTCTGCCTCCCAGGTTCACGTGATTCTCCTGCCTCAGCCTTCCGAGTAGCTGGGACTACAGGTGCCCGCCACCACACCTGGATAATTTTTGTATTTTTAGTAGACAGGGTTTCACCACGTTGGCCAGGCTGGTCTCGAACTCCTGACCTCAAGTGATTTGGCTGCCTAGGCCTCCCAAAGTGCTGGGATTACAGGCATGAGCCACTGCGCCCGGCCCTAGGTTCTTACCCTAACTCCACCACTAACTCAATTGTAATCAGGGAATGTCCCTCCTTTTTGGAGCTGGTTTGCTTCTCTATAAATAAGGGACTGGGCTCATTGATGGCAAAAATGTGGCAGAATACTATTTATCTTCTGTGTTGTGCCTAGAGGGCACCCACTAGGTCACAGCAGCACTCTTTCCCAAAGAGCCTAGATGTGTCACCGTGATTCTCCCGTGCTTTAGACACCCTCACTAACAATAGCGGGGAGGTTATGCCTCTTTGCCATCTGTGTACAAGGCGATCTGGAAGGGCCTTCCAGCTCTAACATCTCATAGTTCTAAAACTTAGGTTGGAGAGGGGGCACTGAACTCCTAGGTTTACAGAGATGTTCACCTTAAGCCCTGATGAAGTCTTTTCTTAAAAGAGTGACTTGAAGATGAGGAAGGATGTCAGAAGGCCCCTCCCGCTTCCTCCAGGAGGGAGGAGGGAGGGACCCAGGGCTGGTCCACTTGAGGCTGCTGATGGCCTTGGCTAAGGAGCAGAGGATTCTAAGGCTGTTGTCAACAGTTCCTTTGAGGCCGTGGGGTTCCTTGGTCCAAGTACAGTTTGCCCACAGCCTTGCATCCTTTCCCATAGATCCTCTCTCACTATCCATCAAACCCAAGCCAAGTCTCTTGTAGATGCTCAATTAGGAGACAGGCCAGAACCAGCCTAAGGGATATACAAGTCAAACCCTGTTACGTGCTGTAGAAAGTCACACATACAGTCCATAGTTCAGCAATACACACGCTGGAAACCCCAAATTCCATAAGAAAATGGTACTTAAGAACAGTGATTCTCAAAGGTCTTGCAGAACTCTGAAGTTCCAGATACTGAGCCAAAATGATTCAACAGGAAAATTGAATGGTGATTCTTTTTTCGAACTACAGGAAAAGTTTGAGTGGAGAGGATTTTCCCAGTTGTGCCTTTTTTCCCTTTTCCTCACTTTTTCTTAAGATTTACAAGCTCCCCCCACTTGCCTGTTAACAAGCGGCCAGAGTAGATCTCACTATTTCTAAGTGTGACCACACTTTTGTTAAAAATCTACTTTGGGTTGGGCGTGATGGCTCATGCCAGTAATCCCAAAACTTTGGGAGGCCGAGGGGAGGTGAATCACTTGAGGTCAGGAGTTGGAGAGCAGCCTGGCCAACATGGCAAAACCCTGTCGCTACTAAAAACACAAAAATTAGCCCGACATGGTGGTGCATCATGCCCGGCTACTCGGGAGGCTGAGGCAGAAGAATGGCTTGAACTCTGGAGGCGGAGGTTGCAGTGAGCCGAGATCGCGCCACTGCACTCCAGCCCGGGCAATAGAGTGAGACTCCATCTCAAAACAAACAAAAAAATTCTACTTTGTTTTCAAAATATTCAACACTGTCCCACTGAATGACAGTGAGCCCTCTCCCGTGGAAGGGGGATTTGTGGTTGTCTTCTTGGAGATCCCCAAACTTTTGCTTTGGAAATGTAGACTCTTTTACTAATTTTTAAAAATTATCATACATGCATTTGACACAAAAGTTAAGAGGAACAAAAGGGCAAATAGTAAAAAGTAAGTGTCGCTAGGTGTGGTTGCATGCGCCTGTAGTCCCAGCTGCTGGAGAAGATGACTTGAACCCAGGAGTTCGAGGCCAGCCTGGGCAATATAGTGAAGCCCTGTCTCAAAAAAAAAAAAAAAAATGGGTCTCCTTAAATCCTGTTTCCCGATGTCCCAGGTTCCCTGCCCAGAAGCAACCACAATTTTCAAGCAACCACCTTTTTTTTTTTTTTAAAGAAAAAGAAAGAAGATCAAAGCATCTGCTCCATACACTCTTGGTACTGTTTTTTAATCAAATTGGTGACAACTTGTTATATATGTATACATTATAAATGTATGCATGTATGTATATCTTTATTAGGAAAAGACTTGGTGACCAAAGTCAGTAAAGCTTTTAAGTTACATTTTATTCATCACATCAGTATCCACATACATTTATTTTATTTTTATTTTATTTTATTTTTTTGAGACGGAGTTTCACTCTGTTGCCCAGGCTGGAGTGCTATGGCGCGATCTCGGCTCACTGCAACCTCCCCGCCTCCTAGGTTCAAGTGATTCTCCTGCCTCAGCCTCCTGAGTAGCTGGGACTACAGGCGCCCACTACCGTGCCTGGCTAATTTTTGTATGTTTAGTAGAGACGGGATTTCACCAAGTTGGTCAGGCTGGTCTTGACCTCCTGACCTCAGGTGACCCACCCGCCTCGGTGTCCCAAAGTGCTGAGATTACAGGCGTGAGCCACCGTGCCCGGCCTTGTATCCACATACATTTAGAAGAGAGCTGTTTGTGGATGAATGGAATAGTAAGCCATCAGCCTAGGCCTGCATAGGGGTAGTTTGAACTGTGCTCCTGCTAAAAACACACGGCCACCCCCACCCAGGGCTCCAGGCCAGAGTGGACCTTCTGTCTGTCTGTCTGTCTGCTGCCCACATTGTAATAGCCCAGTGGGTTCATTTTGCCCTCTGCCCAGATAGAGTTGATTTATCAAGACAGGGGAATTGCAATAAAGAGTTTAATTCATGCAGAGCCAGATGAATGGGAGACTGGAGTTTTATTATTACTCAAGTCGGTTTCTCCAAAAATTCGAGGACTGGGTTTTTTGTTTTGTTTTTTTGTTTTGTTTTTTTAGATGAACTCTTGCTCTGTCACCCAGGCCGGAGTGCAGTGGCGCTATTTCGGCTCACTGCAACCTCCACTTCCCTGGTTCAAGCGACTCTCCTGCCTCAGCTTCCCGAGTAGCTTGGACTACACCACACCCGGCTAACTTTTGTATTTTTAGTAGAGATGGGGTTTCACCATATTGGCCAGGCTGGTTTTGAACTCCTGACCCTGTGATCCGCTCGCCTGGGCCTCCCAAAATGCTGGGATTACAGGCGTGAGCCACCGCGCCTGGCCAGGACTGGTTTTTTTTTTTAAAGGATAATTTGGTGGGTAAGGGTCCAGGGAGTGAGGAGTACTGATCGCTGGGGTTGAAGCTGAAATCATAGGATGTCGAAGTCGCCCTCTTGCGCTGAGCGGGTTCCTGGGTAGAGGCCACAAGACCAGATGAGCCAGTTAATCAGTCTGGGTGGCGACAGCTGAGCCATTGAGTGCAGGGTCTGAAAAATATCTCGAGCACTCATGTTAGGTTTTACAATAGTGATGTTATCTCGAGGAGCAATTGGGGAGGTTTAGAATCTTGTGGCCTCTGGCTGAATAACACCTAAACTATAATTTCTAATCTTGTGGCCAGTTTTTTAGTCCTATAAAGGCAGTCTGGTCCCTAGGCAAGAAGGGGGTTTGTTTCTGGGAAAGGGCTGTTATCATCTTTGTTTCAAAGTTAAACTATAAACTAAGTTCTTCCCAAAGTTAGTTCAGCTTATGCCCAGAAGAATGAACGAGAACAGCTTGGAGGTTAGAAGCAAGATGAAGCCGGTTAGGTCAGACCCCTTTCACTGCTGTAATTTCCCCACTGTTAGAATTTTTGCAAAGGTGGTTTCGACATTGTACCTCGATTCTCAGGGCTCTGCCTCCTGCACACATTTTAGTGCTCAGATTGCCTAGATGTCTTTAGCCTCACTCGTGAACCTGTGCCAGAGTTGGAAAATTAACAATTTGATGTCAACTGTCCACAGTGATGAGGCTGGTATGCTGTCCTACTTTCTGTTTGAAGAGCTGATGCGATGTGACAAAGATTCCATGCCAGATGGAAATCTGTCAGAGGAGGAAAAATTGTTTCTCTCATATTTTCCTTTGCACAAGTTTGAGCTAGAACAGAACATCAAAGAACTTAACACCCTTGCGGACCAAGTTGACACCACTCACGAGTTGCTTACCAAGACCAGCCTGGTGGCCAGCTCTTCCGGGGCTGTTTCTGGGGTCATGAACATCCTGGGTTTGGCCCTAGCACCTGTGACAGCAGGAGGCAGTCTCATGCTCTCAGCAACTGGGACAGGGTTGGGGGCAGCAGCTGCCATCACCAACATAGTAACAAATGTCTTAGAAAATAGAAGCAATTCAGCAGCAAGAGACAAAGCCAGCCGACTGGGGCCTCTGACAACATCACATGAGGCTTTCGGAGGAATAAATTGGTCTGAAATCGAGGCTGCTGGCTTTTGTGTTAATAAGTGTGTAAAAGCTATCCAGGGCATCAAGGATCTTCATGCCTACCAGATGGCCAAATCCAACTCTGGCTTCATGGCTATGGTCAAGAATTTTGTGGCCAAGAGACACATCCCTTTCTGGACGGCTAGAGGGGTGCAGAGAGCCTTTGAGGGCACAACTCTGGCCATGACCAATGGTGCCTGGGTGATGGGTGCTGCTGGGGCTGGCTTCTTACTTATGAAAGACATGAGCAGCTTCCTGCAGAGCTGGAAGCACCTGGAGGATGGGGCAAGGACGGAGACAGCAGAGGAACTGAGAGCACTTGCTAAGAAGCTGGAGCAGGAGCTGGACCGGCTCACCCAGCACCACCGGCACCTGCCGCAGAAGGCGAGCCAGACCTGTTCCAGCTCCCGGGGCAGGGCTGTTCGAGGATCCCGTGTGGTTAAACCAGAAGGTAGGAAGGCAGCGAATAACACGGACGTGGTCTTGCTCTTCTAAAAGCTTACCATGAGGGTGGGGGGCGACGAATGCTAAACGGACACATCAGTGCATAACTACAGCTGCCCCTTCTGCAAAGAGAGGACTTGCCGCACACCCCTGACATTAACTAGGCGCCCTCTGTTCTTCCCAGAATTGCGTTCTGTTCTCTCAAAGCCCTGACCATAAATAACCATAAATTCTTGAAATCCCATATTTGTGTGTTTGTGGGGGTGCTCCCTGTCTGCCTCTCCTGTGGTCTGCAGGCTCTGGCAGGGAAGGATAATTTGGCGGATAGGGGTCCAGGGAGTGAGCAGTGCTGGTTGCTGGGACTGGAGATGACATCATAGGAAGTCGAAGTCGCCCTCTTGCGCTGAGCCGGTTCCTGGGTAGAGGCCACAAGATCAGATGAGCCAGTTTATCAGTCTGGGTGGCGACAGCTGAGCCATTGTGTCCCTCTTGTCCATACCAGTATCCCCAGCACCTAGCAGTGCTTGGCACATAGCCAGTGTGCCGGAAATACGTGTTGAATGACGTGAATGTGGCATTGCGTGATAAAAACGGCACTTCAAATGAGTTGGGAAAGGATTTTTATTTGAAAAGTAGTTTACATTTCTAGACTCTCCTATGTAGAGAAATTAAATTCCTAGATATAAAAACTGAAACAAGAAAACTGCTACCAAAAAATAAAGGAGAATTTCGAGATTCATCTTTAATAGAATGACGCGGTAGCAAGGTCACAACCTGAAACCCGGGAAAAGGACACATAAGTGTTTGCCGAAGATGTGAAGGCTCAAATGTTCATTCACTCATTGTCCATTCAACAGATTTTCATTAAGTGGGGCCTGTGATGGGCCGAGGACTTAGGAGGTGGCTCCAAATGTGTCTGCATGTTGGAATTATCTGGAAACTGCAAAAAATACTGATGAGTGGGTGGGTCCCACCCCCAGGGACTGGGCTTTATTTGGTCTGGGATATGACCTGGATTTTAGACCTTTTTTTTGTTTTTTATTTTTTATTTTTTGAGACGGAGTCTCGCTCTGTTGCCCAGGCTGGAGTGCAGTGGCGCCATCTTGGCTCACTGCAAGCTCCGCCTCCCGGGTTCACGCCATTCTCCTGCCTCAATCCCCCGAGTAGCTGGGACTACAGGCGCCCGCCACGACGCCTGGCTAATTTTTTGTATTTTTAGTAGAGACAGGGTTTCACCGTGTTAGCCAGGATGGTCTCGATCTCCTGACCTCGTGATCCACCCGCCTCAGCCTCCCAAAGGGCTGGGATTACAGGCGTGAGCAACCGCGCCCGGCCGACTTTAGACATTTTTAAAGATCTCCAGGTAATTCTGCGGTGCCGCCAAGTTTGGGACCCACTGCCCTGGGGCGGGAGGGGTTTTCTTCTTCTCAAAGCCAATAGAAATTTGCTCTCTGGGGACATATTTGAGCTTCTGAACGTCCAGGGGCAGATCTCTTTCTTGGAAGTTGTAAGACACAGGGACTCATGTTCCACAGGGTCTCGCTCACCTCTCCCCTGGCCTGTTGTGGAGCACCAGCCTAGGCTGGGCCCTGGCGTGGCACTGAGGACACCAAAGAGGACAGTCTCTGCCCCAAGGATGCTTGGCCACCAGCCAGCCCCACCAGCACCAGCAAGAAAGGGGAGACAGGCCCCGGGAAGACACCGACAATGAGAAGAGGTAAGTGGGACGCAAGGAAGCCAGGAGCTGTGGGAACCCCTGACAGTGAAGTAACCCCTCCTTGGGTGGGTGGGCTTCAGGGAAAGAGAGGGAGGGCCTAACGGGGACAGAGGTTGTTGCTACCTTTCCATCCGGCCACCTGCCACGCCACCTGGTGCCTTTGCCAGTCAGTGAGATCACTGAGCTCTCTCTGTACTTCCTGCCAGATGGGCCATTCGTTCATTCATGAAGTTAATCAATGCACAAATCTCAATTGGGCACACCTCTGTGCCGGGCATCATGCCAGACCTAGCAGTGAATAAGACAGAAAAGTACTAGGTGTGCAAAGTGAAGAATGACCTCGCCCAGCCCTGTAATATGTGGGAGCTCAAGTGAACCCACTGTGGGATCCCTAAGATGCTGCAGAAGTGAGTAAACTATTTCCTTTCTTTTTTTTTTTTATACCCTAGTTGGTCACCCTGTCACCACTGAACCTTGATTTAACAGAGGCAAAATGCAAGTCTTCCCTGAAGAATACTGGGGGTAGGGAAACTTCTAGTGGCAATGATAAAACCAGCAGCAATGATAATAGAAGGCAAACTTGCAATGGTCTGTGGTAACCCCTGGGGACTCCAGAAATACCTGGGGTGGAAGATAAATTTGCAAGAGACCAGGCTTTTTTGTGTGTACAGATGGAATTGGAGGCCAAGAAGACCTACGTGTTCATGTTAATTAAGACTGGAGCCGGGACACATTCCAAACTCATGGATTTTCCAAATTGTATGTAACTACATAGTACCTTTATAATGAAAATGAAAAAAGTTTTAAACTATCACCTGCCACTCCTCCCCCTCTTCCCTCCTGTCATCTGTCATGACTCTGCAAGTCAACACCTTTGCATGGAGACTGTTGCTCAAGCTAAGATCCATTCTCCATTTCCAGGGCCCTGCAATGACAAGTTAATGATTTGAGAAAAGCTGTTATTGAGAGAAAACTATCCCTTTACTGTAGCATAATTTATAATCATGAAAAATATGGAGCCATTAAAATGTTCTAACACTAGGGAACTGGTTACATACAAAATATTCATCCACTTGATAAAACACTACATAGCTGTCAGAAATGATGCTCACTCAATGACTGGGTTAACGTGGAAAATGTTGATTGTATTATTAGGTGGAAAAGAGCAAGGACTTTCTTACCTTTTACCTAAGGGGAAACACATCTCTCAAACTTGTGTGTAGGAAAACAAAACCCCTTAAAGGAATACAGCAAGGTCACAATGCAGCTGTTTATTTAGAGGTAAATTTGGTGATTCCTTCCCCTCTTCTTTCTGCCTTTCTGTGTTTTTCAAGTTTTCAGTTATGCACATTACAGTTTTATAAAATAGAAGGAATATAGATAATAAATATTTACATCAAATCTAAAATAAAATGTTTAAAAAGAGGACAAACTCAGCCGGGTGCGGAGGCTCACGTCTGTAATCCCAGCACTTTGGGAAGCCGAGGTGGGCAGATTACGAGATCAGGAGATTGAGACCAGCCTGGCCAACGTGGTGAAACTCCATCTCTACTAAAAAATACAAAAAATTAGCTGGGTGTGGTGGCGGGTGCCTGTAGTCCCAGCTACTCACGAGGCTGAGGCAGGAGAATCGCTTGAACCCAGGAGGTAGAGGTTGCAGTGAGCCGAGATCGTGCCACTGCACTCCAACCTGGCAACAGAGGGAGACTCCATCTCAAAAGAAAAAAAAAAAAGAGGTTGGGCGCGGTGGCTCACGCCTGTAATCCCAGCACTTTGGGAGGCCGAGGCAGGCAGATCACGAGGTCAGGAGATTGAGACCATCCTGGCTAACACGGTGGAACACTGTCTCTACTAAAAATACAAAAAATGAGCTGGGCGTCATGGCGGGCACCTGTAGTCCCAGCTACTCGGGAGGCTGAGGCAGGAGAATCGCTTGAACCCGGGAGGCAGAGGCTGCAGTGAGCTGAGGTCGCGCCACTGCAGTCCAGCCTGGGTGACAGAGCAAGGCTCTGTCTCGAAACAACAACAACAACCAAAAAGGACAACCTCATAGTCAGCGGGTCTTCATTTATTAATAGCTTTGTTAGTTGCTTGAGTGCATGCAGACTCCTTCTCATCACAGAACAAGGCAACAGTGGAAGAATGGGTGTTTCCACAGAAGACCACCCCATGGTTGTTAGCAATGGCTGGAAAGCGTAGGGAGCCTCCAGCCCATCTGTCCATCCACCCATCCATCCATCCAAAACCAAAAAGGCATTGTTCTAGGCACTGGGGAAAAGCAGTAAACAAAATGAATCCTGCCTTCACGAAGTTTTCATTCTCAAGGTGGAGGCAGGGGAACACGGAAAAGAAACACAGTAAATCAGTGTTACGGTGTATTATAAAGTAATGAGTGTTGGGGAGAAAAATAAGTTTGGGAAGGAGTTATACAGAATTGTTGGATGGGGCAGGAGCACAGTTTCAAATAGGATCATCGGGGCATGCCTCTCTGAGAGGCTGATCTTCCAGCAAAGACGTGAAGGAGGTGAGGGTGTCTGGGAGAAGAGCATTCCAGATGGAGGGAGCAGCAAGGGCAAACACCTGCTTGCGACGTTCAGGGGGCCGCAGGTGGGGCGCCGTGCCGGGAACAGAGGGAGGCGGGGGAATGGGAAGGGAGGGTAGGAGAGGAGGCTGGAGAGAGAGCTGGAGGCCAAAAGTGCAGGGTCTTAGAGCTACAGTAAGGATTTGGGCTTGTACTCTGAGTGAGGCGGGGACACATGGGGGATTTCAGGCAGTGGAGTTACCTAATGGCTTAGATTTTAGGAGGATCACTCTGGCTGCTGTGCTGAGAGGAGACCGCAAGACAAGGCGATGCCAGGGATATCTGTTAGCAAATGTTGGAAACAACCCTCTGGAGAGGGGATGGTGACCTGAACCAGTGTGGTGGCAACAGAGGTGGTGAGAAGTGGTCAGATTTTGGATCTGTTCTGAAGGGAGAGCCCACAGGATTTGTTCATGGACTGGACCTGTGGTGTGAGGGAAAGAAGAGCCAGGATAACGGGGGGTTGTGGCCTGAGCAACTGGCGGGATGGAGCTGTTGGCACCTGAAATGGACAGGTGGGAGCCGGAGTGGGGTGAGAGCAAGGTGCTCAGGATGGACGTGTCACGTTTGTGATGCCCAAAGACACATGCAAGGGGAGGTGCTGAGTAGGTGATGAGATCCATGCATCCGATTCAAGATGTGGGGTCTCCAACAACAAATTAGTCGGAGATACAAATTTGTAAATAGATGGTATGTAAAACCGTAAGAGTGGGTAAGATTATCAAAAGAGTGAACACAGGTCCGAGAAATATGTCGAAGGCCAGCCCCTGGGCACCCCAGCTTGAAGAGAATGTGGAGAGCGGGGGAACCCTCAAAGGAGACTGAGAAGGAAGCAGCCACTGAGGGAAGAGGGGCACCAGGAGTGGGTGTCCAGGAAACCAAGTGAGGAAAGCCTGAAAGTGCAGAAGTGATACACCAGACCAGTGCTGCGGACAGGTCAAGGACAGGAGAATCGATCTGATTTAGCAACATGAAGACCACTGATGGCCTCGATGAGAGCAGTTATGGTGAAGTGGCTGACGACAAAAAGCCTGAATGGAGAAGTTTTAAAAGAAGGCAGAAAGAGGCTGGGCGCGGTGGCTCACGCCTGTAATCCCAGCACTTTGGGAGGCCGAGCTGGGCGGATCATTTGAGGTCAGGAGTTCGAGACCAGCCTGGCCAACATGGTGAAACGCTGTTTCTACTAAAAATACAAAATTTAACCAGGTGTGGTGGCAGGCGCCTGTAATCCCAGCTACTTGGGAGGCTGAGGCGGGAGAATCCCTTGAACCCAAGAGGCGGAGGTTGCAGTGAGCCAAGATTGCGCCACTGCACTCCAGCCTGGGCCACAGAGCAAGACTCTGTCTCAAAAAAAAAAAAAAAAAAAGAAAGAAAAAAGAAAAAAAAGCAGAAAGTACAGTGTTTTGGAGGGGTTTTGCTGGAGGAAGAAGTGAGGTCAGAAAAGGGAAAAAAATTAAAGATGGAAGAAATACTAGCATGGTTCTGTGCTGATGGGGATGATCCAATAAGGAAGAGAGGGTGGAGGAAACTCCCGGGGAATGTCCCCCACCCTTTCAGCTCCCAGTGCCCGTGTTGGATGCAGCCTGCACTGGAACCCTGTCTCCAGACCTGACATCCTGGCGGTACCATCCCAGCTCCATCCCACTTCCCAAGCAGCCTCTGCAGCATGGTTTTTAGAGATACATGGCAACGTACCAATAAAATCTGATATATGACATTCTGTAGGTAAGTTCTCCTTTTCACACCAGGAGCTCAGCGTGGATGTGTTAAGAATACCCTCCTAGGGAAACTCCTGCTGTATCCCCGACCAGCCACAAGATTCATTTCAGGCAGGGCGCAGTGGCTCATGCCTATAATCCCAACACTTTGGGAGTCCGAGGCGGAAGGATCGCTTGAGCTCAGGAGTTGCCCAGCTGGTCTCAGACACGGTGAAAGCCCATCTCTTTTAAAAATACAAAAATTAGCCAGGTGTGGTGGTGCATGCCTGTGGTCCCAGCTACTCAGGAGGCTGAGGTAGGAGGATCGCTTGAGCCTAGGAGGTTCAGGCTGCAGTGAGCTGAGATTGCACCACTGCACTCCAGCCTGCCCAGAAACTCCTTGATCCCTGTTCCCCTCCCCGACAAAAAGGGAAGAAGAAATATTCACTGAAAGTTTGCTATGCATTAGGAACTCTGCTAAGTGTTTTCCCAACTTTACCAAATGACAGATGGCAAATAGTTTTGGAAAACTTAGCACTTTCTAGACACTGTGCTGAGTACTTTACACGTCCTGTCTTATCTCATCCTTGCAAAACACTGCTACAGTAGGAACATTTATTGACTGAAGTTTATAGACAAGGACTCTAGGGTGCAGAGCTGTTAAGTATTAATAAGTTGCTCAAGGTCATCCACCTAGCAGGTGGCAAATCTGAGTTAGAACCCTTCAACTCTTGGTTCCTTGCTCTTAACAATTAGCCTGCACTGCCTTGGTTATCCTGAGGTCGCACCACTAAAGCACGGAAGGGCTGAAATTCACACATGCCTGTGCTTGTAGGCCTAAGGGAGAAATTTGAAGTTTGAGCCTGAGCAAGTGTTGCCAATGCTGGCAACACTTACTCTTAAAATGATTTGGAGATTAATATTTTCCACACACACACATCAAAATTAATAGTTACATTCAGTCTGCACTTGGCAGGGATTTTTCACAAGCATTGATCCAAATTCTCCCAGATTTGTGTAAGGCAAGGGTCAGCAGTGCGTGGGCCAAACCAGGCCTACCACCTGTTTCTTAAAGTTTTATTGGAAGATTACCAGGTCCTCCACTGATTGTCTGCAGCTGCTTTTGTGCTACAGTGGCCAAGTTGAGAAGCTGTGACAGAGACCGAAAGGCCTGTGCAACCTAAAATATTTACCATCTGGTGACATTCAGAAACAGCGGGTTGACCCCTGGTCCAAAGCATTCAAGACAAGCAACTTTTGAGTATCTAGAATTCTGGCTTTCAAAATGAGAAATTGCTGTCTGTGAGCCGGGAAACCAATTTCCGAACCTAGAAGGAACCAGGGGGCGATGGTGTTTCTGTGAGAGCACTTTGCACACTTGCCTCCTTTCTGTCACAGGGCCAGGCAGCCCTCAAGCGAGTAAGGTGAAAGGTTGGAGGTAGGTTCAGTGCTGACCTCAAGAGAGGCCTGGCGCTGGGCAGTCTACCCTGTCCCTCCCCACAGAGCTCACTGCCTCACTTTCCACCTGGCCTCTTTCTCCTCCCGCAGACCAGTTCTCTCTGCACTACTCATCGGCTTACCCGTGGATCCAGGCTCAGAAAACATTCCACCTGTGTGAAACTGTGCAAGACCCACGGATCCAGGCTCAGAAAACTTGCCACCTGTGTGAAACTGTGCAAGACCCGTGGATCCAGGCTCAGAAAACATTCCACCTGTGTGAAACTGTGCAAGACCCACGGATCCAGGCTCAGAAAACTTGCCACCTGTGTGAAACTGTGCAAGACCCGTGGATCCAGGCTCAGAAAACATTCCACCTGTGTGAAACTGTGCAAGACCCACGGATCCAGGCTCAGAAAGCATTCCACCTGTGTGAAACTGTGCGAGACCCACGGATCCAGGCTCAGAAAGCATTCCACCTGTCTGAAACTGTGCGAGACCCACGGATCCAGGCTCAGAAAGCATTCCACCTGTCTGAAACTGTGCGAGACCCGCGGATCCAGGCTCAGAAAGCATTCCACCTGTGTGAAACTGTGCGAGACCCGCGGATCCAGGCTCAGAAAGCATTCCACCTGTGTGAAACTGTGCGAGACCCGCGGATCCAGGCTCAGAAAGCATTCCACCATGCCCAGCTAATTTTTGTATTTTTAGTAGAAACAGGGTTTCACTATGTTGGCCAGGCTGGTCTTGAACTCCTGACCTCAGGAGATCCACCCCCACCTCACCTCCCAAAGTGCTGGGATTACAGGCGTGAGCCACTGCGTCTGGCCAGCTTCTGTTATTTAAAAATTACTCAGTTTATGGTATTTTGTTATCAGCTCAAATGGACTAGACAGGAACATAGGTTTTGAGTAGAAAAAGGGTTTATTTCAAGCATATTGAATTTTAGAAGCCTGTGGGGCTGCAGCTGGACGTGAGTCTAGACTCTAGGAAAGCTTTATGAACTCCAGTTTGGATTTAAGAGTCATTAGCTTACAGGCAGAAATGGGTCTCAACAGTGATCTTTTCAGTGGAGTATGGGAAGAAGTTGGCCTACAACTGAGCCCTAGAGGAATAACAAGATTTAAAAGAGAGCTGGAGGAAGAGGAGCCTACAAGAGGCAGAGAGGCAGCCAGAGACAGGAGTGCAGTGCTGGCTCTGATTTCTGTGGGGTTTCCACAAGAGCAGCACTTAGAAACACTAGCAGTCAGAGGTTAAAGGCATACACTTGGGAGCAACTGCCTGGGTTTGGATCCTGGTTCTGCAACTTCCTACTTATGTGACTTTGAGAAAGTTAGTTAATCTCTCTATGCGTCCAGCTTCATCTTTTAACAGAGGAATAACAATACTGTCAGGTATAGGCTTTGATTTCTCCTTCCTTAGAAGCTGATGCATTAGCCTGTTATTGTTTCACGGATATTGGTGGAAGACACACGACTCGGTGAGAGGCAAAGGACTTTATTACTCACAGTGCAGCAGGCAGCATGAGCACCAGCATATGGAACAGTTCCATGAGCCCCCGAGTCCCACAGGCCTGGATAGATGTGGCGCAGGTAGTAGGTTTGCGCTGCAGCTGAGGAGCACTGAGCTTAGGGGATCCACCTCTTTTATAACAGGTAGTAAGCAAGCTTGCTGTTTGTCCTGAGGGGATACAAGTTTTCTTGCTGCAAACACAACCCCCAGAAATGGCCTGGGGAAGGGGCAATCCAGGTTTTGCATGCTTGTCAAACCCAGCAGGAAGGCAGGAGCAGGAGCTGCAGACAGAAGTGCCTCAGGGGGCACCCGCCTCACAGAGCTGCTGGGAAGATGAAAGGAGTGAAAATGGGCAAGTGCCACCAACAGCGCTCCACACTCATGTCCACTGTTGTTACTAGGGGTGGCAATGTGGAGGAAGGCAGGGCTGAAAAGTGCATCATTTACATCCAAAATGGAAAGCAGTAATTCAACAAATAGGTACTGAATGCTTACAATGCACCAGGCAAATGGAGATACAGCAGCCAACAGAACAAAGTCTTTGACCTCCAGGTGCCTGCATTTTAGTACAGAAAGACAGACACCAAATAAACTACCAGGGGAGCACATTGTACAGGGCCTTGTAGACCAAAATAAGGACTTGGAACTGGCTACGGGATGGGAAGCCAAAGAAGTTTGCACAAAAGCACGTCACAATCCGATTGAACAGGCTGTCGAGAGAACAAACTTCGGCGATGGAGAGCTGTCGGAGAAAAGGTGGAGGCAAGGAGACCAGTTTAGGAGATAAGACGAGGCCGGGCAAGGACGTGCCAGCTTGGAGTGGGTGGTGGTGGTGAGGTACTCGCTCACTTTGGCCTGTCACAGTCCAACACACAAGGGAAGCAGCCTTGGGAACACTCAGCAGTCAAGCAGGTGAACAGAGGAGCATCCGTTCACTGTCATCCTCAGGGGCTGCTTCCAGGTACTGGAGGTAGAAGGCAGGCAGCCACAGGGTGAAGATCAAGTAATTGGAGTCAGCCGGTAGAAACTTATTCCAGAAGTTTGCCACAAAAGAAACAACTTAGGGCCAGGTGTGGTGGCTCACACCTATAATTCTAGCACTTTGGGAGGCCGAGGCGGGTGAATCTTTGAGGTCAAGAGTTTGAGACCAGCCTGACCAACATGGTGAAACTCCGTCTCTACCAAAAATACAAAAATTAGCCAGGCTTGGTGGTGCATTCCTATAATCCCGGCTACTCACGAGGCTGACGAAAGAGAATTGCTTGAACCTGGGAGGCAGAGGTTGCAGTGAGTCGAGATAGCACCACTGCACTGCAGCCTGGGCAACAGAGTGAGACCCTGTCTCAAAAAAAAAAAAAAAAAAAAAAAAAAAAAAGAGTACAAGGAATAACTTGAGATTTTCCAATTTTTTTTTTAACTTAAGATCTAAGCACGCTTAAGTGCCAAAGGGACTATTGAGAGGAAGAGGCAAACCAGGCAAGGGAGGAAACTGAAGCAAAGCACCGAGCAGGTGGGAAAGGCTGGGATGCAGAGCACAGGTGTGGGGTTCACGGTGATGTGAAGAATGCCTCTAATAGAACGAGAGAGAAGGGGAAAGACACCCTGTGTGGAATTCAAGTAGGCTTGTAGATCTGGTAGGGAAACTTCATTCAGGGAGACTATGTCTGACAACCTCCATATTCTGTGAAATAGGAAGCATGATGATCTCATATGGTGAAGTGAAGGGAGTTAGAGATTTATGGATTATGGAGAATTTCAGAGATTTGGGAATTATTGGCTGAGAAACGAAACAAATGCAGCAAGGGATGGGTTTCAGCACAGGTAAGAAAGAAAAGAGGCCAGGTGTGCTGGCTCATGCCTGTAATGCCAGCACTTTGGGAGGCTGAGGTGGGAGGATCACTTGAGGCCAGGAGTTCGAGACCAGCCTGGGCAACACAGTGTAGCCCCATCTCTACAAAAAATGTTGCCGGGTGTGGTGGCGTGCACCTGTAGTTCCAGCTTCTCGGGAGGCTGAGGTGGGAGGATCACTTGAGCCCAGGAGTTTGAGGCTACAGTGAGCCTTGATCACACCACTGCACTCCAGCCTGGGCGACACAGTGAGACCCTGTCTCAAGGGGAAAAAAAGAAAAGAAACAGGGAGGAAAGGGCTAGGCAGGACATATTTTCTATGGCTGAACAAAAAGTGAAGGAGCCTGGGTGGCAGCCGGAGAGCCAGGGGCAGCAGGGACAGAGGAGGCAAGGCAGGGAAATAACACTTTGATAAGGTCAAGTGGGGCCACAGCCCCTGGCAAGGACAGTGTCTGTGGTACAGTAAAGGCAGCAGTTGAATCTAGGGGAGGGTGGACGGTGAAGAAGTGAAGCTGAAAGATTTCAGAAGCAGCTTTTGGACAGACTGGAGTTCACAGCTGGGGAAGCTGAGAGCAGCTGACACACGCTTACCTTCTGGCTTCTCATCACCATTTAGAACGTCTCACCTTAGAACGCCTGGCACTTTTCCTTCTTGTCCCCCCCGCCCCCCGCTTAAAAAGTCAAATCCAAGTGGTATCTTTGGAGCCTCAGGCAGAGGCAACAGGGAACGAGGATTAATACACACAGCCCAAAGAATGGTGTTTCTCTCTTTTATTTAAAAACAGTGCTTCATTACCATGTGCAAAGGCTGAGGCAGTGCTCCTCCTTCGCTTAGAGTTTATAAAAGCCAGCAACATGATCAATAATTTATACACATGGAGAGTAATACAAAAAAATAAGGAATAAAAGCTAAAGATCTAACTACTCCGACCTTCACAATTCCAGCTACTTGATAATAATAGGAGTAACCCAATGAATACTGTATGGTCTGAAAGCTACTATACAATATGATTCTTAACGAGAAGGGAAGGGAATTAGAGACTGTCACAAAGCCCTGGGATGCTTCTCTGGAGTTAGCAGGGAAACAGGACCCTGGGCAAGCAGCTCGGGTGTCCTAGGAAGTGATTCTGGGGGAGGACGGGAGGGGAGAGAGAAGGCTAGGTGGTCGATTACACAAGCATCCCATGTAATGCCCCCATGCCCCAAAGGTACCTGTTTTGCCATGGCAATGGGAGGGGCTGGAGGAACAGCATGTTGCATGTAGGGATGGTCCGGTCCCTGCCATGGGGAGTGGGGAGAAGAGGAGAGGTTCTGTGGCATTTTGAGCCTTGCAAAGATTTGGACTGAAAAGCTCAGAGACTCAGGTAGGTCAGCCTGTCAGGGACAAGTACACTCCACCGGCTCTCTTCTCGCTTTGCAGCCCTAGCTTACGCGTGTCAGCCCCAGGTTTGCTCCAGCTATTCACAAGCAGAATATAACACAAGAAAAACAATTCATATCCCTTAGGGAAAAAAGAGGATCAATTCATCACTCAATATATAATACAGCCAAAATGAGCTGCCAAAACAAGCACACACACAAATACTGTGAACAGAAAAATACAAGAAAATGACTAAGCTGGGAGTCTTGACGGGGTATGGACATTGCTTAAAGCACTTATCAGTCCCCAGAAAAACCAAACCAAAAACATTTTTTAAAAATTCAGAAACTCATGTACCCCCTGGGAAACTGGTGTTGGTAACAAAGGGCAGGGGGTGGGGAGAGAAAAGAGAATCACTGCTCCCTTTTTGCTCGCCAGTGTGAGTGGAGTCCTCAGGTCACCGGCATGTACACAAGTACCAGACAAGGAGGACCAAGTCCCTCTGCTGGTGGCCTCCTAAAAGGCAAGGCTTGAGTTTTGGCTGATGAGCAGTTCTCTCCGTTACCAATCCCTGCCAACCAGCACTACCATGGCTGAATTGATCTACCGTTTTCCTGAGTAAACTGTAACTGGCTACAGTTTCGGTAACATGGAAAAGAACTCAGCTACTACAGCCAACTGCAATACTTCAGGAACCCCCTCCATCCCTGGGCTCCTCACTCCTAGTGCATCTGATTGAGGAATCTGATAACTTGCTGCAGTCTGGTCTGTTAGCCTCATTTGCAAAGAAAGGTGCCAGGGACTCTATTACACTCACTAAACCAGAGGGCACACGCTGGCTTAGGACACCCAGAGCCTACTTGGAAAGGGCCCTGTTTCATGCTCTAGCTCTTGGATGGCTATTGCCTGGCTGATCAGTAAAGCAAGTATGAAGGAAGTACATAGGAAAAGGAAAGGGAGGGAAGAGGCTTTTGGACAGTAACATTTCCAAAAAAATATAGTGTTTTATGCAACAGAGAATCAAGTTTCACTGTGTATACTACAAATGGTCAAACATTTTCAAGAGCATGACAAAATAAAAACACACAAATTTACGTCTGATGTTCACCTTGCCCACTATTTTTTTTTCCTATCTTAAAACAGTGCAAACAGGTAACTTATGCTTTTAAAACACCACGACCCCTTCCCCACCCCCCAAAGTCCCTTTCCTCCTAGTATCTGGGGGAAAATCTGCAATTCTGCAAATGTTACTGCGCTAGAGGTTGCAAGCAGCGGAGAACTGGCTGAACTTGGCAAAAGGCAAGGACTGGTCAAAGCTTCCCCTTTCTCCTCCTTAAACATCTAAGTGCTTTCCAGTCTGTCCCTTGGTTGGCCTTGTTCTCCTGCCAGAGGGAAGGGGGTTCATCATGCCCTTCTTGCATATCCTTGGGGTTGCTTCCATCCCTGTTTGATGTCTCCCTCATGTCTGGAAGCTATATAACTAGTTACAGGATGGTAGTGATTAACCCACTTATCTGCTAGATCTCTAGTAAAGCATAATTCTAAGCTAAGAGCAGTTTAGCCCCTGAGGAGTCACACATTTGAGGAAAAGCTGCTATCGATGACTTCTATTGTCTAGATTTCCACTAGCTCCCCTCAGACTAAAAGTTGTGCCCCAGTCCACTTCTTTCTCAAAGAAAAAAAAATGTTGGCTCAATTCAGACTGTGGCTGTTGAAGGATGATGGTGATAGTAGGTTTTGTTAAACCTGAGAGCCTGACAAATGGTGAATCACAATGGCTGATCTGAGTTAATGGAAATTGAACTAGGTGACATGAGGAATTCTGGAAAATGCCTATGGGCAGCTCTCTGGGCTCTAAGAGGGACATGGAGATAAAGGTGTTCACTAGAGGCCTCCTTTAAGGAGCCCAGCTTCCAAGAGTACAGAAAGTCCAGGTCATGAACTATAGTAAAGCTGAAAAAGAATCATGCATGTACTGTGATTTAGCATCAGTAAGTTTTCTGGAATTATCAGCCAGCATCCTCTAACAAACTCACGAAATGCCAGACTCCTCTGACTCTCTTTTTTAATACAGTGAGAACCAGAGTCAGGAACAGACAAGCAGTGCTGCTTCGAGCAACCTGCCTCTGGTGAAGTTGACCGTACGGAGTCTCAAAGTTCAAAAGGTGACGGGGAGGTTGATACTGTGAAATCCAGATGCTTGCAAGAGCCCCAATTCTCAGTGTTGACACTGAAAACCAAAGACCCTTTCATAAAAAGCAGAACTCCATTTATTCTTTCTTAGAAAAGGGAGCTGGAGGAAGCGGTGTTAAACACCATCCCTGGAAATGCAGCAGAAACCACTGGAAAGCACAGAGCTTGCCTTTGGAGGCCTCAGCCAGAACCAGCTGAACTGAGATGCACTCAAGGTGCCTCAAGCTCAAGATTCTGCCTCTCTTAAAAGGTCTGTGGGAGCCGCCTTCTCTACCTTTCCCATTATCCTTACCTCTTTCTAGGAAAAAAGAAGAGAAAAACTCTTAAACTCATTCTCCTATTCTCCCCTGCTATGGATAAAACCATTTAGAATTTGGCCTAGTCTCCACTGAATACGTGGCTTGCCATCTTTTGGGAATGGCCCCTTTGTGATCATGACCCCAAACTTCTGTTTTTTTAGTCAGCTAAAGTTCTCCCTCAAAGCAAAAGCAAAAGCAAAATCCTCCCTGCCCCCATTCCCTAGAACTGTGAAAGCCCGCATCCCATTCCCCGCTCCTCTAACTAAAATATTTATATACATACAACAAAAATTGTCTTAACAGCAACAAACCAAACTTTGGCTTGGGGTGGGGGGACCCTTAAAAATGGCCAGTGGACTGGGCAGTTGGTGTCCCCTTATTCTCTGTCTTCCTCCCCAGAGTCAGTAATAATTGCATCGAGGCCTCTAGCTTCCTTGACATCGCCCCTAGTTTCAGGCACAGCCTCTCTCCCAGTTACGAGGCGAGACAGGATTCTGAAGGGGGAAAGGATATGTATTCTACACAACAGGTCAACGCCCTCTCAGATATATCACTCTGCTTACAAAGAATGCTTGATGCTGTCATAGGTCAGTCATTTTAATTCAGGGACATGAGTCAGTTATCAGTCAAGAACATGTGTGGAGGCAGGAGTTAAAAACAAACCCAAAACAAACCCATAACCAGAAGCTCCATGTCTCTGAATTACTCCCTTTAGCAGCTGTCCCTTGGGTGAAAGGTCACCCTAGTACCAATGTGACTAGACCAGGGAGCCAAAAAGACCGTGCTTTTCTATTTCCTAATGCCTTCATTTGGGAAATGCTGTAGGACACTTGCTTTTATCAGTTCTATCTAACAGCTAGAAGAGAAACACTCCCTCCTACCTTGATAACATAGAAAATTACAGCCAGATGGCAACGGCAGTGACTCACTGCGCGACTCTTTCTGGTGATATAGAAGACCCTTGCCATCGCAGACCCTCCTTCCAATATGGGAGGGCAGCAATCTCAGGGCCTCTGCATTTTATGTCCTGTAGTGTTAATGTGTACAAAGTGGTCCGGGTGCTCAGCGGGGTGTTTTTGGAGGACAGTGAGAAGCTCAGCGGGATAGCCACAGGCTCAAGACTGTGGATAGAGAAGTGACTCATAAAGGCTCTGGAAGATGAAAATTCCTATGGCTTTGGAGCAAGTACAAAGTGCCTCTGCCTGCCCTTCCATGTCCTCATCACCAAAACTTCCAGGGACTACTGACCTAGGACCTGGTACTCTATCTTTCCCCAGCAGATTCTTTATTCTATTTTTTAAACTTTGTACTTTCTGAGGCAAGAAAAAAGTAAGAAATACCAGATCTTCTAATATTCCTTTTCCCTTCCTCACCCTCTTTAATGGCTGTCAACAATTTGTACTTCTAATCCTCAAGACATCTGGGGGAAATCTGGTCACTGGCTTATTCACTTTTCTGTCCCTGGGTCCTAAATTCCTGAATCTTATGGACATGAGAGCAGGGTGTTAATAAAAGAATACATGAGCTAAGCTGTGGTTCAATTAAAGGAGAAGAAGCCTAGAAGGAATGCTAGGTTACAGGAACAAAAAGAAATGATCTTTTTCATACTCCAGAGTTCATTCTGAGATCGGTTTCCTAATGAGGTGTTTATTATCCACTGTCTGAGAGCACGTTTGGAAATATCAATACTATAATTCCAAAAACTATGCCAGCTGTCTCAGGCTGTGCGTGTAAGATGATTGTAAAAAGAACGGAGAAGACAGGAGGGAAGAGGAGAGGAAAGCGTCTTTTTAATTCTCCTGCTTTGTAAGCACAAATTCCTATCTATCAGCATGTGGATTCCAGCCACAGCCAACCAGAATTGCCTGTCAAAGACCAGAAACTCAGAAGACTAGAAGAATATCCTGTTGCAGAAAGATCTCTTCCACTTCTGCTTGTCCCCCAGTCATTCAGCACCAGATACACTTTGGTAATTCTGTCTGCTGATTTCTGATCAGATGCATTTATCGGCTCCTAATGTCTCTCCTTCCTCCTTGACTGCCTCTTCCGTGATTGATAGAATAAGCTAAGCACGGACATACAGACATGGAAATGCATTATTTTTTTTTTTTTTACCACAGTTTAAAAAAAAAAAGAAAAAAATGCACAATCTTTGGAACAAAAGAATTAAAGGCAGAAATTTAAAGGAAAAATACATATTCAAAGAACATAGTGAGGTATAAAAAAGTATTCTTTCTTTTTTTGTGTTTTTTTTTGTTTGTTTGTTTGTTTTTCCTCTTCATCTTGCTATAGAGTTCCTCTACTAGTAAATATTGCAATAGCCAGGCCTCATGAACTGGGGGGCTGTCCCATTTGCAGGGGTCTCACGTCACTTCAGTAGGGGGCAAATCGGCTGTAGCCACCTCGGTATAAACTCGCCTGCAGTAATTAAAGAGATAAAAATAATTAAAAGGTTGATGAGAGAAGCATTAACAGTGAAGAAAAATGTCCAGAGAGGGATCTAGAAACAGCCTGCTTCGAAGCCTCAAAGCAACTGATCAAGCATTGCCTTGTGCAGTGAAGTCAGGAAACCAACTTCTGCTTCTAAGGTGCTCAGACCAGAGCCCAACACATTTATTGCTGACCTGATATTCTCAAGGAGAGTATGACGACATTTTATTTCATTATTTACATGAATTAGCACAGAAGGGAAACAATACACAGTTGAAAACAAGTTCCGCAAAGAGTTTGATTTTTAAAAGCACAGGTTTTTGTTTACCTTGATACAGCCTTATAATCCTGGTGGAAAACAGATCACCAGTTTCTCCTTCTCACATATGACCCATCGGCAGTGCACGTTACTTCTGACACGATCCCTGCCATGTGTGGTCACAGCCCATGTTTGAGATGGTGCCACATCTAAACCTGAGCCAGTCTTTAATAAAGTCTGTTTCCTCTATCATCTACGAAGCACACCAACTAGGCTGTTTCTTGACATATTCACATTTACATATCTAGCTGGGGTTTTAACTAGGCTTTATTCCTTTATGTTTATCAAATGACTTTATCTAATGGCTTATCTCTTTCAATTAGAAGTTTCCCAGGAATGCATCTTTCTCAGGTCATTCTTTTAGCATAGGACTTATATCATTTTAGGACGAAATACAACCTCAGGCACTTCTACCACTGCCGTTATATTGTAATGCTCTACTTCATTTATAAACATATATTCCCTCAGGGCCCCCTATTACTTCCTTCCACAAATCTTCATCAGTAGAAATTTGGTGTGAGAAGTAGCTTTCTCATATTCCTTTAGGTCTTACATTTTACATTTCATTCTGTCTCCTTTTCAAACAACTCTACCCATGTCCAGAGGTAGTTGCCCAGTTGCATTTTGGATTAGAGAGAAAGCCCTGGCAGAGGTGTCACTGTGGAATGGCCTGTCTTTGTTGCAGCCTGTGAGTCCTAATCACTGAAACTGGAGGCATCCAAGCCAACACAATAATACTGCAGTGAGGTGGTTGGTCAGAAGAAATTATGCTAGTTCTATGGACTTCTTCGATACTTCTATCAACAACACCATATTTTGCCACAATTGTTATCAATAATCAATAATAAAATATCCTATAAAGCATTCACTTAGGAATTTCTAGTACTATCTACCAGAAGGCTTAGGAAGAGCAGAGACATCCTTTAGATTTGCATTTGAAACTTAAGTTTTTGAAAAGCTTACTGTGAATACTACAGCCTTATGCTCCATGCTCCTTTGCCAACACCTATCAATGAAACTATGCCACAGGTATGCACTCAACATTTGAACCAATAGAAAACATTCACCAGTTCCCCTATTTCTCTCGCAAATCATGCCACTACTCGGGGCATATTATCAATGATCATTCCTTTCTGCTGCCCTTAACTAGGCCATGTGGCTCACATTATAATAACACACAAATAAAGAGGGTGACATGAAACTTCCAGGTAGATCTATGTGGCTTTAATACCTTGATGGTGGATGAAAGGCTGAATTTACTACCTCCCTAGATCTTCTGTAGTCTACGGGTAAAAGAAGGAATGAAATGGTTTTATAAAGCAATGGTATATTATATACTTACCACAGCGCCAACTCCATAGCTAGCGGCAGGGGCAAGGGCATGGTAGGGGTCGGCTGTGTACACCCTGCCATAACTGGAAAGAAGAAACACAATCAGACAGATAAAGAAAAGTGTATGATCTAAAAAAATTAAAGGGATTACTGTGCTTTAAGACTTGTGAGTCACTTGGTCTTGGATTATCATAAGGAAACTGGAATTACAAGGAATAGGAAAAAACCTTTCTATTTCTACTCCCAAATGCAATAACTGAAAAAAATCTGAAGTACTTCCATAAAATGGAAAAGAAAGGAGTTGGAGATGAGGAAGAGAGGGACTGGAGTCAAAGTCAAAGAAGAGATGAGAACAAGAAAGAGGGAGTGGAGGACAGAGTCGGTGCCTTGTGCTTTAGGCATGACAGAGGCCATCAAGAGGTCTGCAGAAAGCCCAGGCTGGCAAGATGCCCGATGTGCTAAGAGCTGCTGTGGAAATGGTGAAGGGAGGAAAATGGGTGACATTTTGGGATGGAACAGCTCTCATGCATCCCAAAGCTCACCACTGTCTCTGTACATACCCGTCACTGTAAGCGGCTGCAGCGGCTGCAGCAGCGGTGGCTGCGGTTGCAGTAGCAGGCTGTGCATATCTGTAGGCTGCATATCCACCCTACAGGAGAGAAGAGAACTGACTTTACAGATACCTCTCCCCCCAGGTGTACAGAAAAACACACACCCGCCCACACACAGACGTACACACATGTAGACACAGGGACTGACACAAACATAGACACACACATGGGAAGAAAATGTTTCAAACTGCATCAGTCTGCATGTTATTATTCCTCCAATAAAAAATTAAGCCCTACGATATGCAAGGATTTGCTTTCCAATTTGTGATAGTATTAAAAGTAAAGTTTGGTAGTACCTGTTAAATACAAGGAATGAAGATATGATTTTGAATCTGTCTTACTTCACAGTCTTTGTTGGAACTTTCAAAAGCGAAAATATTTACAGCAAGTTGGGAGCACTCTGACAAGAAATATAAATTATAAAGTTAAAATATATGAAATCTGTATGTGTTGACTTCAGATTCTCTAACGTGTTCTTGGATTGATTCATTAATAAGAGACTACAGCATGTAACAGAAACCTCTGCTCCATCCGGCCTAGCATGTTTGCCAAGAAGCTAAGATAATCAGGTAATATTTAGAAGGAAAAACAATGTAGATCAGGGGTCAGCAAACTCTGGCCTGTGAGCCAATGCAGCTTGCCACCTGTTTTTGAAAGTACTTGTGACAGAGACCAATGTCCTACAAAGCCAAAAATATTTACCACTTGGCCCTTTACGGAAAGTTTGCCAACTCAGATCTACATTTCATACTTGAGCAAATCAATTACAAATTTCTGAGGATTCTTTGGCTGGATTCAAATAGATCAGGAACCCTGCTTCTAGCACTTAACTGCATTTTCCTTCCCTAAAAGGTTTTGAGATTCTTACATATTAATCTTACAGTAGACTCTGAGCTTTTCTTCCAATAGTCCAAATATCCTCTCAGTCCTAAAGAATTTCAAACCATCACATCCTTCTATTTCAACTCAGTTTAGATAACTCAAATATACAAAAGGTTTTCACTATCAGGGTGAATCATGCACTCTTTCAGAAAGCATTTCAAGAGACAATCACAACAACAAATGCTTGCCACATGAGACAGGATATTTTTAAAAGTGGCAAACTCTACTTTTTATTATTTATGAAATAGAATTCATCTATTTTACCTAAACGTAATTCAGATGCAAATTTTTATTATTGGCCTTTCACTATCAAAAACAACTATGTTCAACTGGCCCAACTGAACATCATTTCAGTAGTGAACAATAGCATAAACATTTTATTTCTGTGGATAAAATGTGCTCATTTCTCATGGATATCTGAAGGTTTCTGCCCTGTGCTTTCTACTTCCTATTTTTTCAAATGTTCGATTTTTCTAAATCTACAAAAGAAATTTCAAATTTACTTCTGTATCATTTCTTGGGATTGAGAACAACTATTTTCTAAGGGGACCCCTGTTCTTCTTAACCATCTTGCATGGCAAGTCCTAGCTTGCTTCTTTTATTTGTTACCCCTTATTTTAGAAATACCTATAATTTCTTATGAGCTTCTAAAGCCTTTTGCTTCTTCCTTATATAATTTATGCTTTCTCTAAATGAAGAAACTGCATTGTGAGGGAAATTTATTCCTGCTCTTCAAGTTTATGCTGCTTGAAGTCAGGGTAGTTTCAAATGTACTTAAAAAAATCCCTGACTGGCTTTCAGTGGTTATACATTATTCCTCCTTTGTTTTTCAAATGAGTGACTTAGAAAGTAAACATTTCCTTCTTAATTACGAATTCTTCCAGAGATATATGAAGACTCTAATTAATATTACCAAACACTGACAATGAAATGGTAATGAATGGGAACATGGCAGGAAGCACCCTTGGGGGCCGTTTCTGATCAACATGGTTCCTTGGAATTCTAGCCAGGATCTGGGCAAAGCTGTAAATCCTGGCCACAACATAATTAAACTAACTAAAGTATTTCTTTACCTTTTTTTTTTTTAAGCATTTGTTAAACAAAGCAAATGTTAATTACAGTTGGAATTTTAACACTAAAATGAACCCTAGTAATTTTTCATTATAACTAGAGATGGTTCCATTAGTTTAGAATTTGTTTGCTAGTGTAAAGTTACAGCAGGGCTATTTAGTAAAACTTCTTTGCAAACAAGGGTAATTCAGCATTTTACTCTTTAGTATTACTCCAACCATCAAAGTAACATTAAAAAAATTTTAAAGTTAAGGCAACAAAAGCAGTTAAAGCCCAATTCATGTTTACCTAGGTAAAAAAATTAAAAACTGAAGTCTTATGCCATACGGCAGAGGTATAAATTCTTGCAAAGGGATACTGAGGTTCAAAAGTACTCAACCAAGGGTAGGTTTCACACCTGACTCTCAGGAAGACTGAGTGAGGTACTGGAGGTACGATCTCTGAGTATTCTATCAAATCATGGCTTTAAGCTGTATTCTTAAAAAACAGGTTCTAAGTGAGGTTGCTGACAGAACCAATTTCCCCTCATTTTCCTAGGCCTACAGGAAGCCATAGGAACCTTGGTGGTTTAGGAGTAATGTTACTGCTAATCAAAACAATTCAAATGGATCAGACTATGGAAAAGAATCTTCCTTCCAATCCAGAAGGAGATGGAGAGAATCTATCTGTAGCGGTTTCCTTCTTTGATAAGTCAAGTCTGACTTTGAAGTTTAAACATGATGAAGTTCTCTGCTTTTCAAGTGGAAGAAAACAGAACAGGGTTGGCAAATACTTTACTGAAAACAAAAGGCTCAAGAATATCAGCACTAAGAAAAAACACATGAAGAGTTTTTTTTAAAGCAGATGACTTTAACATGATTATTCTCCTGATTACTTTATAATAATGGCATTACAGAGAAACCTTTAAAAGATGAACTATTTTAGGATAGATAGGCAATATCCTACTAAACTAACTTGGTAATTCACTAATGACTACTCCAAAAGTAGAAAAATTAATTGTGTATCATGGATGTATTCCTCTCTCTCTCTCTTACACACACACACGCACACACACACATACACTTACTCGAAAGTATTTTTGCTGCTTTATTCAACAAAACATATCACAAAATGTGAGAAAAAGAAAATTCAGATATATTTATTTCTATTCCAGATTTCAAAGTGCATAGAAATTTCAGGCTGAGAAACCGTTTTTTCAGCTTTCACTCTTACTAGCAAATCTAAAGGCTTTTATAAAACATGAGAACAAAGTGCAGTTTGAAACACCAAGGTTTTCATTACTGTTTCTTAAGTTTTTCAAAAAGAACAAGGGTGGGAAGGAGGTAGAAGAGACAGGGTTCAGGCGTGGGGAGGGATATGGCGCCACATTTATTAATCACATTAAAAACTAAGCATGCCAACATCTGGAGCTAAACAACCAGCAAAATCACCACGTTCAGACTCGTATTGGCTAACTCTATCTATCCCAGCATTCTCTTGGGACAGCGGTTTGCCCTAGGCTCTACCACAAGCTCGGTGAAGTACACAGCCTCAATTACTAGAGCGTGCAGCCACAACGACCTGGTATTACGGAAACAGTCAGTCACCACTTGAGTTAACATTCCATACCCTAACGACTGGCCCCTCCCCAGCCCAAAGAAATAGTCAATCTTGCCCACCCTAGCCCTGGCCCACACCACAATGTTAATAATTATAACAAGCAGTAACCCATCTGTTATATCAGAGAAGGGAACAGAGACTCCACTGAGAGATTTAGAGTGAGATGTTAACATTTCTTCAGCTGACTGCACAAACAAACAAACAAAAAAAGAGGAGAAATAATTCATTTGGAGATATGAAGTCATGAAATAGCTGATGTGTATTGCTTTTAACCATGCACTGATGCAAAACTGAAGCAACCATTAATAATAAAAATTAAAAAGGACATATGTATTTACACACAATCAGACCTGTTTGATCTGAAGCAGTTTGCAGATTCTATCTGTGTGTGATTTGAAATAAAACAAAAAATGGGGATTAGCATGGCCACAGCACACCCTAATGTAGGAGGGCACACACGGACGGCTTTTTGGAACTCTGATAGCTGGATAAATTTGGCTTGGCTAAGCTTGATTCAGATACACACATGCCCCTTTAAAAAGAATTATTCTTATTCCTTTGCAATTCATTCTGAATGATACCTGGTGTCCCCAGTGGGGCTGCCCAGTGCTTCATCGCTCCCCTATTCAACCTGCCTGACACTGGCAATATAATTCAGTCCTGACCCACAGCACTCACATGTATGCTCGCCCTCTGTCAACAACCGTATATTCTAATCCACAGCATTCTGCTAAAATATTTCCTGTGTTTAGGAATTTTACTTTTTCACATATCTGTAACCTATCTCTGACTTCAAGTTCCAGCTTCTTCAAAGGAAAATGCCTTTGAAAAGTTGGCTTTAAGATCCTTTCCAGTGTTTTCTGCAGTTGTTAAAGTCTCAGTTTTTCATGGCTCAATGTCATCTCCTAGGGCTTTTCTACTCTGCTCTGAGCCAATTTTATCATCAAATTAACTTTATGATGTTGCCACGTTGACCACATGATCTTTCGGCACAGTTCTGTAGCTGGGTTTTAAACTAGAGCAAAATACAATAGAATATAATCCCTCCTATATCTGACCTTTATCTGCATATTTATTAGTTTAATCTCACACTGGCAGACTTTTGCCTTGTCTTGATTTTAACCTAGCTTTTAATTTTATTATATTTTTGTTTTAGGTTTACATTAAAACAGGACTTTGGTGAGCATGTGATGTCAAGACACCTTCTTTCTACCCGGAAGACAATGACATTATGTGACACTGAGGAGGAGAGTGTGTATTTCAAGACCAGCAGACAAAATGAAAGCTTGTTACCTACATGTAGTGTATAGATCAATAGAGCAGAGGGTTGGGGGATGGCGGCAGGGGGTGGGTAAGGAATGGCAGGTGTGATGCTGAAAATCACTACAGCAGAGCAGAGATCTATTCCAACTAGCGTGGGTTTAATGCTGGGCCTCCAGGAATCACTTTATTTATCCTTGGATGAATCTAACTCCCTCTTTTTCCTCACCACCTCCCCACCCCTGCTAAGAACCATGGTTCTAGGAGATATTATAGAGTTCTTTTGTGGCAAAATGGCATCACTGATTAAATGTGAGTAACACACAAACTTACAATAATGGTGATACCGTCACTGCTTTTGATTGAGCTCTGTCTCCTTTGAAAAGTACTTATGAAAAAAATTTTAAAGTATTTAAATTTTATCTTATTATTGTTTAAAATTGGGGTTAAGGGAAAAAATTGCTATGATCAACCTGATGTCTTCCACCTATTATTTCTATGGTAGATGAGAGACGATTTTCAATAATCAAACCTTTCAAACATTATTATTCCACATCTCCCCAAATTAGTTCATTTCCAAAATCTTGCTGGGTAGCCACATAAATAAACTGGATTGTGAAAAGCCATCGACTATTTTCTTTCTCCTAGCATCCAGCTATCAGCAATCCTTCTAACAAGTATGCTATTATCCAAATGAACTCACTGATCTTCTTAGGTGAAAGGAGAAGAGGCCAAGGGAAATGCATGTCTCAATGTTTGAGTCCCATATGTCTAGATTTTTAAGGCAACTTCAAACTTATGTAGCAGCACAGTCCAATTACAACTGGTATCTCACTACAGGGCCCAATGTGGGATTCAGAAATCCTATTTGTACAGTTCTACTTCCTCTTTTTTCTCTTTTCTAAATTTATAGTAGTAAGAAAATGTCCCCAACTGCTAAGATCTAAATATAAAAAAACAGTTTAAATACCACAGGTACATGTGACTGACAGATTAAAAGAGGTGGCAGTGATGGGACAGTGCATATTACACACCTGGCTGGGATATGTGTCAAGAGGACAGGAGCACTTAATTTTAGAGGAAGTGCCATTATGTACGGAATGTGACTGTGGGCACTGCTGAGGTAGCAGGGCTTAGATCACACGCTCACAAGTCTTGATTGTCCAAAAAAGCCTCTGTTCCCATCTCTAACGTGGAGCTGGAATGGTTAGTATAATTCAATTTTTTCACTGCAATCCACAATCTGATTGATTGGCAGGTCACACTGGCACTCCTACCTGAGGTATTTTAGCGCTAATGATTGGTTCCTGTAAGACTATTCTATAACAGAACACAGGAAGAGCAGTTCAAAAAACACAGCTGTGGAAGGAAAACAATCATACAAAAAGCCCACTAAGGGGCCCACCAGCCTTTTCTTTCCTTTGGATGCAAGCATGCTTTTCACAGGAGGTGATTTAGGAGCAGTTTGTTAACCCATTTAAAAAGTGAATTAGGGCGAACTATGCCTTTTCTACTGGCCAAAAAAGAAGAGGGAGGGCTGGATACATAATCTAGCTGCCACACTCCCAAATCCTATCACGGTAGGTCTTTTTACAAACTAGGAACAGAATTGCTAGATCAGTTCTCCAGAGAGGAATGTGCCATAAAAGAAACAGAAAGTAAATGGCTAGCAGGAATCACTGTCTAAGAATGGGACTGTGAAAGGGATTACAAAAACCTTGCACAATTAATAGCCTAAATTCATTTAACTTAAGCATAACCAGCAATTTAAAATCTTTTCCCTTGTGTCTTCTCTTCAAGCTCCGATTCGGTGCACTTTTCATACTAAACTCTCTATTCCTTCTATTTCTAATATGCCTTTCGGAGGAAATAAGAACTAAATGTATGCTGACAGATTTCCACAGATGGGAAATGTATGGAGAGAAGCAGAACAAACTCAAGGCAAAAATGATAGTGTTTTGTTGTCTGTGTGTTTTTGAAGAAGTATCCTTTGCTCCCTCACATGTGGAATACAGAACACACAGTTTTAAAAGCAACAGTTGTATTAGGCCTAACTCAGTAGTTACCTCATAAAGTATTCTTGCTTTTCATGTAGGGGCATGGATATTATTTCAGCACTAGTGACCAACCTTTTTTTCTCTAAGTAACTCTGCTTTAAGATAAGAACTAAGAAATAATAACATTACTATTAATTACTTTCATTAACAAGGGGCCACTGGTCAAAAAAAATTATTTCAGCAAGATCACTGAATTACTTGTGTTTAGCTCAGCAAGGTAATCCAGTTAGTAGATTAAAAAAAAAAAACCAAGAGTATTTTATTAACAGGAACAGAAAAATCATCTGTCTCAATAAAATCTTACATTGTAAAGTAAGGAAGTAAGATAACTATTAAAAAATTGGGTTGGTTGACTTAACAAGTTTGAAGTAGACAAGTCTTTTTTTTTTTTTTTTTTTTTTTTTTTTTGAGACGAAGTCTAGCTCTGTCAGCCAGGCTGGAGTGCAGTGGTGCAATCTCGGCTCACTGCAACCTCTGCCTCCAGGGTTCAAGTGATTCTCCTGCCTTGGCCTCCCAAGTAGCTGAAACTACAAGCGTGTGCCACCACGCCTGGCTAATTTTTGTATTTTTAGTAGAGATGGGGTTTCGCCATCTTGGCCAGGCTGGTCTCGTACTCCTGACTTCAAGTGATCCCCCTGCCTCGGCCTCCCAAAGTGCTGCGATTACACACGTGAGCGATGATGCCTGGCCAAAGTAGGCAAGTCTTTTTTTTTTTTTGAGACGGAGTCTCACTCTGTCACCCAGGCTGGACTGTAGTGGCACGATCTCAGCTCACTGTAAGCTCTGCCTCCCAGGTTCATGCCATTCTCCTACATCAGCCTCCCGAGTAGCTGGGACTACAGGCGCCCGCCACCACGCCTGGCTAATTTTTTGTATTTTTAGTAGAGACAGGGTTTCACCATGTTAGCCAGGATGGTCTCCATCTCCTGACCTCATGATCTGCCCGCCTCGGCCTCCCAAAGTGCTGGGATTACAGGCCTGAGCCACTGTGCCCGGCCCAAAGTAGGCAAGTCTTAATAAGACATAAATAGGTTGTATTTAAGAAAAATAAATCCTCAAATAAGAAACACATTAGAGAAAAAAACTTGATTTAAGAAATAACTCAAATGGAAAATCTTGTTCTAATAGATCAGATTTCAAGAAAACAAGTTAAATAACAAAGATGAGTTTCATGAGAATATGGACACTAATGTATATGGGAGAATGTACATGCTAACATCATATGTAAGTCTGTGTATTTAGAAATATGTAATCTGGTGTAAAAGTAGGAGATTCCCCAGTTCTCAAGCTTCACTGTGAACATAGGAAAAAAGATATCTTTCATTACTTGTTGAAAATATTTTGAGGAAAGAGGTGGATTTTAATTAAAGTACAAAGAGAGGTAATGAAATATGGATTGGTTGGGTTTTATGCCTGACTATTAATAATTTATGTAGTTCTGGGTAAGTCTCTGAGAAATATATCTGTAAGTTAGGAGGTTGGACCAAATCATAGCTGAGGTTCCTTCAAGTAGTTATTAAATTAAGGCATACCTTACAGGCCTATGCTAAGTAGTACAGGTGAGTCACCTGTATTTCGAAGAACTGTATCATCCCATCTCTACTTCCTGCAAAACGCAAAACCTCTGAGTGCATTCTGAAAGTGCATTAACTTTTTTAGGTTGCTTGTGAATCTCTGGTAGACTGTGGAAACAGTTCACTAAAAAGGACCTCTTATTGATTTTGGAAAGTAAGGGTGGAGAAAGTATTTCTAGACAATTTTAACCTATCCCCACAGAATCATTTCATGCTGACAAGTTTTTCTTATAAAAATTTTCCCTTGATGACTTGAGCGACTAAATCAAGCTTGCATTCAGAAAAAGTCCATCTGGAGAGGTCATGATAAAAGACTTCAAAACTCAAAAACTTGTACTTTGTCAATTATATCACTTTGTCCACATTTTAAATAATATGTGACAAACCAATCATGGAACTTTAGTGATAGCTAGACAGTTTAAATAATGGAGTCCATATTACTATGGCTAGTAGAGTCAGCAAATCTATGATAGTCAAATAGCTGTAAGAAGAGTCTGGGTTGCTGATTATGCTACTCATTTCCTCCAATGGCTTTTAAGAACTAAATATCTGGCGTTTTCTCATTACTACACACTCTTTGCTGGCATCGGTTCCTTATTTGGCTATCACAAGGTCATGTTCTCTCAAAGTAGGTAAAATAGGAAAATGTACAGTTCAGAAAGCTTATTAACCTCTAAATCACAGCTCTAATGATCTAAAGAGGGATGTGAAATGAGAAGAAAAGCAGAAAAGGGAAAGAGCTGGTTTAAGGTTAAGCTAGTCCTGTTATTTATGTATGCAAATGACACGACAATAATAAAAGACTTTAAACCTGCTGATCATCTCACAAGTAAATTAATGATCCACAGAACATCTGTGGGTATAGGGAAGGGAAAAGAATATGTCCAGTAGACTGACCCTTGCAATGATCAGGAAACCCAAAGGCTTAGTTTTTGCACCCAGGGGCAAGCGCAGTGGCAGAGAAGCATGCTTGCATTCTTAAATATATAAATATATATATATATATATCCACAAGGAAAAAGAAAATAAAAATTAAATAAATTAAAAGGAAAAAAACCAAACCAAACCAAAGAAACAGAAAAAAAAAGGCTGGCTTGTCAGGGGATGGGGTCGAGAAGGCCCCAGTGTGTGTACTTACATAGAGGTCAGCACCGTAAAATCCGTCCTGGTAAACCACACTGCAGAAAATCCACACAAAAACAAAAACAAAAAAAACAAAAGAACAGAAACACATTCCGGTTATTGAGGACGGCAGCATGCACATGCGCTCTACACAGGCAGGTGATGTATGAATACATAACCTGGGCTTGGGGCCTCGGCAAGTTGGTGAGAAAATGTGAAAGTGCACACGAAGGTTACACAGCTCCAGGACATGCGAGGAGAGGGAAAGGTGTGCAAAACTAGAATGCGCAACCTGGATATTTGGTAATTAAAGTAGGATTCACACAATAAAAAGCACTCCTAGAAGAGCCTATTATATCTATCCAAAATCTGCTGGCTTGGAAATAACTTTTTGTATATGGAGTATTTTTAAAAATAAGCTTGCCCTAGGAGGAAGTTTCTTTTTAAAGAGCTTACAAAGTAGGGTAGGGGTGAAGAGGAGTTTAACATGAAAAACTGAACCCAAAGAATTCCACTAGGGCAGGGCCTGTATGCAAAGTATGTTTTTACATTACGTTTAAGTATTTTGTTTTCAGTATTGTAATAATATGTAAATGTTTTTCTGATATCCATACATCACCTGCTTTTTACCCTGCACATTAGACATGCGATAAGATTTGGCTGATCACACAAGCATGCAAAGTATTATTATTCAGCATTTTAAGAACCAATGCAACACCTCAGAAAAACAAGTCAATCAATTCTGACCAAAGTAAACAGAGAAATGTAATTAAAAAAAAAACACAACCAAAAATACCCACAATGCATTGCTTTCACAAGCAGAGATAATGAGCTAAAGGTTAAGGTGATTGGTCCAAGGTCCAAGAATTGAAAGGTGCAGTGGGGATCCCAGATAGTAACAATATAATCCAGAGTGGGAAGGAGTAACTGGAAGATTTTAAGGGTTCTTTTTTGACTATAAGAGTATTCATGGAATTCTGAAAAATACAATTGATAACTGAAGTTCTGGGCTTGACCAAAGATCACCCTGTCTTATTTAAAAGAATACATCTGAGAAGGTAGCTGGTTAAGAATAGAAGGGTTTATTTTCCTGTTTAGATAATGAATTTGTAGCAAACAGACAATGCATGACTTTAAAAAAAAAAAAAAAACAAAACCTAAGCAACACTATATTCTTAAGTATAGATTTCCAACCTTCTGAGGTACCTTTGTGCATACAGACTTATACAGACTTTCCCCAAAACATTATTTTGGGACCAAAGGACATGGAATAGCAGTAGAGATAAAAGATAAAACTTTCTTCTTCATCTCTGTGAAGTCAAGATCAGATTGTTTTAATTTAGATGATCTGTTTATTGGTTATTCAACTAAACAAGCTGGAAATTTTCACCACTACCTTCTCTGTTACAATAAACAAGCTGACAAGTAAAGTCATCAAATCATATTTTTAACTTGAATATGAAATAACTTATTTCTTATAGGTAGGTGGAATGTTTCTTAATTCTATTTCCAATGACATTTGGTTGTATTTACAGGATAGCATGGTCACATTTTGGAATGCCCCAAATATGCTATGCCCTTGTATCACACAAAAGGCAAATCAAACTCATCTCTGATGTTCATTTAGCTAAGTCCCATTCATTTTCATAGTCTCCAGTTGCAGTTAAAGTCTGATATTAGAAAGTAATCTGCCTCTCAGCTGCATTTTAAGGAAAAAAACAACTTGTTCAAAATGAGAAGGCTGATAAAATGGAAAGCACTGAGACCAAGTGGTGATTAATTAAACTTCAAAGATCTTAGTAAGGGGATATAGGCAAAGATTTACAAATAAGCCTTCTATAAAGAAGGGTTGGCATTAAAAACACGAATACATTTTACCCTAAGTCAAATAACTTATTGGGAATATTCATCTACGTTCTAGAAGAATCCCAATATTCCCTGTATCAAATGCCACAAGGAGGCTAGAAACGTAATGATTAATGATGAAATTAGTTTACTAAGCTGAAAAGCAATTCTAGGCCATTCCCATGAAATACTGGACTTATTCCTTGCCATCTTCCATGTAAACAGGTGGTTTAGTTAATAAAAAGAAAACATGGGAAATCAGTGTTCAATGTAATGCACAGAAATTGATATGATTAGACATAAAGATAAAATATCTTTGAGCAAATATATACCTGACACAGACTTGGTAGAGAATGGGTTCTCAAGTTTGGTCAATATACTGAAACGACTACATTGAACAGGACTAAATTCAACCACTTTATAAAGTAATTCAGCAATGTTACAAAATAAGGAAGTCCCATGTTTCTGGTGAGTAGTCTCTCTTTGCAAATATGACAGTAAATTCTCTTGGATTACAACGGAAGACATTTCACAAACAATTTTCCTAGTGTGTAAAACTTCCAAAAGGTTCCTTTTAATGTTTCATTTGAGTATTTCTTGATGAAATAATACTGCATATTCACTTCTTTAAAGAGATGTCAGAGGTTGAAGGTCAAAGGTCAAGTTGAGAGAAAAAAGGATTAAAATAAAAGTAAGTAATGGCATAAGATGGAGATGATGGAATGCATGTGATTTAAATGTCTACAAACTCCAAACAAAAGTTAATTTCTGAAGCAGTTCCCTTCCAGTGTCTTTTGGAGCCTGCCCACTTCAACATACCTTGTCTAATAAAAATGTTTTAACTCTGTGGAATGGAGAACTTCTAATGGTACATCCATTTGGTCTATGAATGAATGAATGAATGAATGCTAAATTAGTACACCTCAAGGCTAAGCCAATTTTGCTGTCAGAAAAGGACATACAAAGGAGGTTCCTTCCCTTTATATTTTAACTAAGTAGCAGCCAACAAGCTTCTCTGCTGCTACTTATTCCTCCGTAAGAATACAAAAAAAAATATGTCATATTGACATTATCTGGCAGAGAAAAGGTGAAGAGAAATGTCACATCTTTGATGAGGAAGTCCTTGGTACAACTGACTCATGAAAGACCACTCTATAAAAATTTGCATTTTAGGCTGACACTGAGAAACCCCTAAAAACAAAACCTGCCATCTTCACTCCTTTTCCCCATTCAGTAGCAAAGGATTTATTTGTTGCTATGGAATCATTCCACTGCATGAGACACCCTCCATAAAAAAATCAAACGGTGAAGGATGCTCAGCTACAGTCGCTGTTTTACCATCATTCAGAAGCCAACTGCAGTTTAATTCTTCCTACTTCTCCCTTTCTCCCTTGATTCAATTGGACTTGGTTCATCTTAGAATTAACCTCTTTTAATCCGTTTCCTACAAAGAAAGCAAATCCATTGTGGGTAACTAGCTCTGCTGCTCACCACCCAGGCAGTGAAACCAAAGGGGAGGACACATGTGACAGCCTCTGCCCCAACACGGGGTGGTGATAAGGAGGTGAACACAGCAGATGCAGGCTTGTACTACAATCTTGAGCTCCTCTTTTGGTTCTCTGCAGTAATGTTAATCCATATTCGTGCGCTTCTGAGTGAACTTCATGCCAACACACTGCTAGTAAACACAAGACGGTTCTGGCTACTGTCTTAAGCCATTACCATGAGGGCTTAAGGTGGCCAAAATGAAGACTTATAATGAATTGACAGTTTGTCACATTCTGATGATGGTATATTTTGTTTTTTGTCATCTAATCTGTTAATTTGCAAATATTCACTGAATGCCTACTCTGTGACACGGCAACATCCCAGAAGTTATGAAAGGGCCATGGTATTCTTTTTTGGTCCAACTGCTTATTTTAGAAACATACTGATTTTGGAATCTAACGCTTACCCTGGATAGGCGGGGATGGCTGTTGGAGGTACCGCTCGGACTGCACCATATACTGTCCGCCCTCTGCCCCTCAAATGGGCTCCTCTGAAAGCGGCTGCCGTGGTGGCTGCAGTAGGGTAAGGGAAGCCAGGAACTAAAGGGAGACCCAAAATATGACAGAAATTTCAACTTGCATTCAATAGAAGGTGCACAGTCACAACTTGCTATGAACCAATTATAGAAAAGATGGAAAGATACGAACCACACCTTTTTGGAAAAGGTGGCATGCATTCAATAAACGTTCTACCCTGGGTCTCTCAGTGGGGAAGAAATGGAAAGAGAGACCCAACATGCAAAAGCAAAAGATTCCATGCCTCATTCATCACAAATCTTGAGTGAGCTTCTCTGTTCCTTCTCAATTTCAGCTTTACAATGCAAGCTGCTGAGAAACAGGTCAAGAAGCTCTGAGAATGACTGCCATAATAAGAGACAGACTTTTAATTACTGTGGGCAGTCTAAATCAGATTGACACAAACTCTTCAACCGGTCAGTTATTAACCTTGCTTCCCAATGTTACTATGTCCACATAATAATTATTACTCAAAAGAACATTCTTTTTATATTTTTACATGGTACCAACCTCTAAGGCACATAATAGTCTTTAGACATTTCATTTCATTAGTCAATTTCATTCTTTTATTTAAAACATTTTAATCCACAAATGTAAGGTGAGGGAAACAACTCCTACCCTGTCCTTTAAAGAGGCAGACAATTTCTAGGGGCCTCATATCCTTTAAAGAGGCAGACAATTTCTAAGAGCCTATTTTAAGTGTGCTGTCCTCTGGAAAGCATGCAGAGACATTGATTCCATGTCCACTGAATCCTGTTTAATTATACCTCTTGCTGGAGTAAAATGGCTCAGGTCAAAATGACTTAGAGAGATCAAGAGAGCTGGGAATAATCAATAATACTGGAAGTACTTCTAAGTGATCCTCTGCTGGAGAACCTGTGGCTGACTCGCAGAGGAAATGTATAATATGCTCTACACATACTTGCTTCTTTTGTTTTCTTTATCGTCAAGTACAGACTAAAATATTCTTCATATGCCCTTACCCCCTCTACCTTTTCCAACTATTTCTGCTTTGTGCAATCTTAATATTTGGTCAGGAAAATTCTAGCACAGGTTAAGCAGGACAGGGCACTGGGATAGTATTTAATATCCCTCTCAAGAAATTTCCATTTCAGTTATGTACTGTACTAGGAAAAAAAAAAACAGTACATGATAGTTCACTCACAACAGTCAAAATCCATGCCAGGCCAACATAGGCTACTTACTGATTAAAGGAATGTAAGTGTTGATACCCCCTCTTCCTGATAGGGGCACTGCTGCATCATTGCCTAGGGACACATCTGCTTGAAAGCTGGATGCTGATTGGATTTTTAAAAAATTTAAAAATGCAAGAAGATTAAAAAGGAGTCACAAATTGAAAAACAGCAGATGCTATTACAATTAAATAGCACAAGTGGAAACATTTACTTAAATACTACCTGCATATAACTCCGGACCATATACAGCTCCAACTACTGGGCTTAATTTCCAACCTGAAACACACAAAATGGAAGGTAAGCATTTAAGACTGTTTGAGGAAAGGGATGATCAGTGCATGTCAAGTTGGCTTCAGCCATCTCTGGGGCTATTTTTGCCTATTATCAACTTCTCTTTGGAATTCCAGCTTGGGGTTTATATGAGAGAGTAACAGTAGTAGAACTAGGACACAGTGAAGAGATAATGAGGGGCTGGGGCTGGGGGGCTTGGCAGGTGTCATGATGTTGGGAGGAGGAAGATGGAGAGGGAATGAGAGGAGAAAAAATAAATAGAAATAAATCCTAGAGTTTGGTAAAGTGTTCTCACAGAATTACCCTGGATGACCTATCCTTCATTTAAAAAAAGAAGGCCGACTATATGTCACTCTGAACCATGCTGTGATGCATTTTCTCAACCCTGTTTATTACTCTAGTTGTTTTAATAAAGGTATCCATGGGCTGAACTCAAATTCAACCTAGATCTTTGACTCCATGTTTGGCTATACAATGCTGGTATTCCAGGTAAACTGAAATCCACTTTTACTCGGATTTACCATTGGGATTTTACTGGGGTTCACCAACTAAAAAAGGAAAGACATGAAATAGTAAAATTCAAGGTACATTCCCAACTTCAGTGCATGTTTTCTGAGGCTTTAATGTGTAATAATCACCTTTAAGTTAATCAGACTTCTTAGCTAAAGAACACCAGAATACTGTGGAACATTAGCTTAAATATTTATAAATATTAAGAGTTTCCAAATAACATTATGTTTAATGTCAACTTTATTTCTTCTTTCCCTTTTTTATATTTATAGGAATATGGCAAGTATTTTTTAAAAAGGAATAATATACGATTGCTCACTGCGAGTGAATAAAAGTAGAATTCCACATGAAAACTTTAATCAATATTAACTGAATTTTACATATAAGCAAAAATACTCTATATTATATATTTTCTGACTCATTTGTCTTTTTATATTAAGACCCTAGCATTGTGCCACACTATTCTATAAATATACGAATGAAAAGAAAAAGGCCAGAATTGGCCTCCTCTTTTTTTTTTTTTTTTTTTTTGAGACAGAGTCTTGCTCTGTCACCCAGGCTGGAGTGCAGTGGCGCAGTTTCGGCTCACCACAACCTCGGCTCCTGGGTTCAAGTGATTCTCATGCCTCAGCCTCCCAAGTAGCTGGGACTACAGGCACGTGCCACCATGCCTGGCTAGTTTTATACTTTTAGTAGAGATGGGGTTTCACCATGTTGGCCAGGCTGGTCTTGAACTCCTAACCTCAGGTGATCCACCCGCCTCAGCCTCCCAGAGTGCTGGGGATTACAGGCTTGAGCCACTGCGTCCAGCCACAATTGGCCTTTTCAAAAGAATTATTGAAATTACCAGATTTAAATGACTGTAAGCAAGACATTATTCAAGTGAAAACCTATTCACTCTGATTCAATCCAATCTCTTATTCATCATTTTATGTGCTCATAAAATGCAATGTCTCTTCAATATTCCACATAAAATTCTGGCAAAATCTAGGTTCAAATCCTACTTGAATTGTAAGAACACAAATATTCTGCAACATCAAATTACACAAATACTGTGCAACATTTCTGCACAAATTAAGAGATTCCAACCAACCTAAATGAGAATGCTGACTGAGAATTCATTAGGAGGAACCCAACAAATTCTTCTTAGGACCTTTAACACAATAGCAGAAGGTTTCTTGCCTACTAAACCTGAATATTAATTTAGAATAATATTTTAAAAAATAACCTTTTTCTTTCCTACCAATGCCACTATTGCCTGAGCATTCCCTTTAAATCCACATAATGGGCAGGCACCGTAGCTCAAGCCTGTAATCCCAGCACTTTGGGAGGCTGAGGCGGAGGGATCACCTGAGTCTAGGAGCTCGAGACCAGCCTGGCCAACATGGCAAAACCTCGTCTCTACTAAAAATACAAAAATTAGCCGGATGTGGTGGCACACACCTGTAATCCCAGCTACTCTGGAGGCTGAGGCACGAGTATCGCTTGAACCCGGGAAGTGGAGGTTGCAGTGAGCTGAGATCGCACCACTGTACTCCAGCCTAGGTGACAGAGAGACTCTGCCTCAAAACAAAAACAAAAATCAATATAATGGATGTATATTGACATGTTGTTAGTAATACTTTGAATATATTTAGTTTTAGAAAATTTACAATGTATTTTCACAGATGCCCTTTGACCTTCACAAAACCCAAAGAGGAAGGTAAAATAGATACCACATCTGCAATCTGAGGTCAATACTATACTTTTCTGGGTCTCATTTCCTAATAATAAGCTGGGAGGGTTGAGTTTCAATAATTTCTTAAAAAATCCTGGTGCCAAAAATCTGTGGTCTCAATTTATAAATATGAAAACAGAATTAGGTTAAAAAACTGGTCCACTGTCACGGAGTAAATAAAGAGTCAAACCTAGAAGGAGAACGTCTGTTTTCTGAATTCCAGTCAGAGGCTCTTTCTGTCACAATATTTCCCTTAGATGTAAAGAAAATTTGACATTCTTTGCCTCTCCTTTCTATTTTGTTTACTTTGAGTTTTTATCAAAATTGTAGAGACTTGTTTTTGTAAGAGCAGTGAAAAGAAAATAAGAGGTAAAGTGGGAGGCAGTGGTATCATACCGATAAAAGGAGTAAGGAAAAATGCAAATTATGCTGATAAATTTGTATCATCTATGTGAAAAGCTGGGCTAAATATATTTATTGAAGACTTTATGGGATATAGTCAATACGGATACATTTCTCCTTGATTTAAGACATTATTAGCACATACAGCCATACTCTAGCAGTGGGTTCAAACTTTTTAAAAAAACAGCAGAGCCAGGCATGGTGGCTCACGCCTGTAATCCCAGCACTTTGGGAGGCCACGGTGGGCGGATCACGAGGTCAGGAGGTTGAGACCATCCTGGCTAACACGGTGAAACCCCATCTCTACTAAAAATACAAAAAATTAGCCAGGTGTGGTGGCGGGCGCCTGTAGTCCCAGCTACTCGGGAGGCTGAGGGCAGGAGAATGGCGTGAACCTGGGAAGCAGAGCTTGCAGTGAGCCTTGATTGCGCCAGTGCACTCCAGCCTGGGTGACAAAGCGAGACTCCGTCTCAAAAAAAAAAAAAAAAAAACTCCAGCAGAAACTCCCCCCTTTATTCTAGATATTAGTAAAAGCTTATGCAGAACCCTAATTGCTCAGACTAAAGTACAGCTGAGACCTCAGAATTCAATCCATTTGGTTTCCTTTTTCTCTCCCAAACTGGCTCTGCAGAACAGTCTGCAAAACCACCACTGGGCTACAGATTAAATTTATATTCCATCTCATTCAGAGACCATGAGTCTAGATTAAATTTGGTAACTGATGTAACAAATTATTCATAGAAAATTTCCTTCTCAATGAGAAAAACTTATAAACCTTACTATATAATATGTAATCATGAAACAGAAAATGATACACACACAACCATACCCATGGCTGTTATCTCTAGGGCTAAGGAGAGCAACAGGTCCAGAATTATAAAAGTGATTAAAATATCCTCCTAATTTATTCCACTTATGCTCAGATGAATGAAAGTCAGAACTAAAAGTAAGAGTCAGTGGGCATCCAGGGGTATTACGGACAAGTCTAACATATTAGAAAGAGCTACAGCAGCTGAAAAAGAAGGTGCTCAGGTGGGATCCAATTTGGGTTAATAGGCAACTAGATAGCATGTTTGCACTGTGTAAAAGATGAACATTACTTAGAACATAACACCTTAATAACTAAAAACTTAGCTCAATTGTAATGACAAAGTTATTCTGTAAAAATAAAATACTCTCCCAGGTAAAGAGACTACTTCAACACAAATCAAACTGTCTTAAGACGGAAATAAAGACATTCTTAGAAGTTTATAAAAACTTCATATATTTACACAAGAATAAACACTCTTTCGAAGATTATAATTTCTTACCATTTGCATATGGTGTGACCATCTTCTTATTGGTCATTACACGTGCTGTAGCATTATTCACCTAAAAATAACAAGGAGAAAAAAGGGCAGGGAAGAAGTGGACCACATTAGGGAACATAAAGTTGCACATCCAATAACAGAGTATTTAGTTTAAAATGTAAATTTCTGAGAGCAGTGATTTAAATAATTAACACAGCAATATAAAATATTAATATATAGTATTTTAATTAAAGTTCTTATCAAATGAGGATAACAAGAGTAAAGTGAGTTTCTTGGTTTCCAAATATCAGTACTCCAAAGAAAATACATTTGCAAGATCTTTGGACATCTTTTTAACAGAGAAATCTCTGCACTAAGGAAAACACAGAAAAAAGTAAATAGGAAACTATATTAGCAATTCACTTTGAAGTCTGTTAATAAAACAGAGGCTTGCCACATGGGTTATGAAATAGATTGATGGAAAGGTGATAAAATAAATCTGATTTCACCTGTCCTAATGTTCAGCATTTTAAATATGTCTGTCAGAGATTTTTACTGTCTGAGGTAAGTAAACAAATATAGAAACCTAAGATTCCCCTGCTGACAGCCTTCAGGACCATTCTGAATTTTCTAGACTACATGGTCTATCAATTTAAGAACAAAGCTTTTAAGAAAGCCTTTAAAGTAGGCACTTAAAAGAATTGAGAAAATAAAGTGTTTATTTATTTTGTTTTATGGTACTCTCCACCCTCATTACAGAACTGCATATTTTAAAGCATTCTCAGTGCTAGAGTAAGTAGGTGTTACAAAGATGCTGCTGCTGAAGAAAAGATGAATGGAACTAAGATGTCAGCATACTGCAGCCCAGTGACAGAACCAGTCTCAAAGCTCTTGCAAGGAGGGTAAAGCTCCACCATAGAACTTGACTTATACTGTGTTGTCAGGTCATAAAACATGCCAATTGAAAAAAGAAGCATAAAATATAAATGTCTTATTTTTGCCTCTTCAAATTTACATTGTGTTCAATTTGTATGGTAATAAATTTTTGTTATGAAAAGACCAATTTTAGGTAGAATTAGAACTAAAAAAAAAACCTCTTCCTATGTCTTTTAAGATTTGTACAGTGATAATCCCCCATATGAGGAAAGAGCTTGAAACTCCATTTACTCTAGCTTCGCCCACCAAATAATATAAACGTTTCACATTTAAAAAGAAAGAATGGGATACAACAATGATGAGACTGAGAGCATGCAGTTAAAAAACACACACACACAAATAAAAGAAAGAAAAAACAATCAATTTTGGAAAGAGGGGAGAAACTGAAAAGCAAGGTTCTCACAGACAAGGATTAGAATGGAGCAAGAGCTGAAACCAGCTGCTGGAGCAGAAAGCAACCAAGCACTTAAAAGGAAAAATGGCCAGAACCAATCAGAAACCACCAGTCAGCAAAAGAGACCAACAGCTGCGTGTAACTGAAGGGATGGGAAAGGAAGAATAGGGAAAGGGACAGGAACAAGGATCCGGAAAAAGAGAGTAAGGTAGGGAAAAAGAAAAGAGAAAGTCAGGAAGGGTGTAACGGGCAAAGAAAGAACAGTCAGAGCTACAAACGGGGGTTTGGGAAACAGGAAAAGTAGGGAAGGATGTAGGGGCAGGAAGTGCATTAATAAAACCAGCCAAACTGGAGTTCAGTAACTCTGAGTAAGATGTGCAAGGGGAAAAAAATCACCATGAAGTCAGTAATCAAACAGCTCAGACCGCTACAAAACAATATGTACATCCAAAATCCAGGCGGCATTACTCAACAGCATTGAAAATAAAAGGGGGAAAGGAAAAGGAAGAGGAACAACAAGTCAAATCACATTTTGTAGTGTTAATGTGAGATGGCAGATGGACTTTTTCTTTCTTATTTAATTGTTTTGTAATTACATTTTTAAAAGCTTCTTCTCTAGTGCTTTTGTTCACTTACCGCCAACGGGCACCATCGCCAGCATTGTGTATAGTTACCATGGAAAGAGTGAGTCAAGTGAAGGGCCCTAAATGCTAAACCATTGGAAAGGAGGGGAAAAAAAGCAAAATATGCAGACATCTTACTCAAAATGGTGGCTTTTACATTTAATACTTTAAAAAATTGGGAAAGGGGAAAGGAGCCAGTTAACCTTCGATGTGTTATCAAAAAGGGCTGGTGAATACCAGGCGGTAGACTTGGTCATAATCACAGTACATTCGCCAGCCAGCCATCATACCCTCTGTTTAAGAATTTTATCCATAAAAATTTAGATACCAAAATTCTTGGTATTAGATATATTTAAAAACTACACGAGTTTTGGATTATTTCCTCCCTCCCCACAATCTCTAGAATCTTCTATTTCGTGCTTATCATGTGCACAAAGAGGCGAACTGGCCTCCCAAGAGAGAGGATATTGGCTGGCCCCTTGATTCATTATAGAACACAGTGTTATAAACTGGATAGTTTTTAGACAATTTAACATTAGTTTTGCTTAGGCCTGATCACAGGAATTCAGAGTATTGCAAACTGAAGCAAAGGAAAAAAATCAAGAGAGCAGAAAGATCAACATTTTGAAGGAAAAACATAAATGAAAAACAAACACACACACACGCACACACACACAGTCAAAATTAAAACCCCCAAACAACCAATAAATGAGGAGGGAGGCAGATAGAAGTGTTACTTTTATACATTTTAGTGCAAGAAGGTGAAGAAGACAGAGATACAAACACACATACATGTGCACACGCACACATAAGACAGGGTTCCAAATGTGAACTAAGTGAGGCAACACGAAAAAAGAGAAATAAAAATATAAACCAGAAATTGAATTATTAAAGACATGCACCTCGATTTTACGGCCCTCTACCACGGTGCCGTGTAATTTCTCCCTGGCCCTGTCTGCATCAGCACTATTCTCGAAAGTTACGAACCCGAATCCCTGCATGCAGCGGGAGAAGGGGGGAAAACATGCACATCGTTATATTGAAATACTGATCTCTTGGTAAATAGAGAAAAAATATCATAGTATGAAACTGACATCAGCAACAACTCAGCAATAATCTCCCAAAGTCACATTTTTGGTCCATGCATATTTGTAAAGGGAAATTAAATCCAATAAAAGAATAAAGAACTGTAATAATAATAATAATTAACAGCAATGTAACAATAATAAAATAAAACATAAAGCATATGAGGCCAGACCAAAATTAAGGTACAGAGTTACTCGGGTCAAACTATTCAACCAAAAATCTGAAGATTTTTTAATGCCCTACCTTTCTCTCTCAATTCATGTTATTAATTTAATATACATGCCCCTTTATGTAATACTAAAAAAGACTTAATTAAATTGACTCTCTGACATCCCAAATCTATTATTTTCCAGTAACTGCTACATGAAATCTGACATTCAGGTTCAACATTGCATAATGAGATTTTTTTTAAAGTAGGTCTAATCATTTTAGCCCCACGTTGCCTGTTGCTTTTATCACTATTAATTCCTTTGGGAACAGGATAACTTAGGGCATAGTCGGTGTACAATTTTCTATGTACTGGGTGTGGGAGAGGAGAGCATTCATGCTCTTCTAAGCAAATAAAAATATCACTAAGCAGTGGTCAATTATAACTTTTCTTCAATGCCCTTTTTAAATGACCAGATTGACACTTAGAGTAAAAATATGTTCAACTGAATTTCAGAAAACTGCTAACCCAAATTTGCCTAAATTATTCATTTATTGATGTTTATACCTGCTATTAAAGGTAGTAGTAACTTTCTATATATAGAGAAAAAAGGAACAGTCAACAGGCAATGGGAATGAGATCTACATTAGTGACATCAGTTGTACACTATTCAGTAGAAAAAGGATATCAGAAAACAGCAATGCAGCTGGTATAATGACTTAGGATTAATTTGTTTGTTCCTTGCAAGATACTATAAAAATGGAGTGGAGCTTTAACTCATTAAGTAGACAAATCAGGAGACCAGGGAGTTGACTACCTTCACTCCGATGTTCACGTACTACCAATTTTAACACCAGGAGCATTTACTATATACTTATATGACTTTCCTAAAACATCATATTCACTTCATTCTAGGTGCTCTGTCCTTATCGTTCTACTCTGCAGCTATAATTTTACAAATAATTTCCATGCTGCTTATATCTGCAAAGTGGTAAAGTCTTAGGATTTTCTACAAAGTCTTCATTTGCCAATAACTTCATTGTCCTGCTAGCGTTTTTTGAATATTCCACTGTAGGATAACCCAGAACCCTTTAATTTTAACTGAAGTTCTGCCTAGCTGCTTAATAACATGAGCACAATTCTCTCTATATAAAACATGTTCTTAACTGACACGGTAAACAATGCGCGTTGCTTAATAAAATTTTATAAAAGCAACTCCATTGTTTTGAAGGATCTGATAACTCAGCATTCTAAGTGATTATGTGGGTGGGTGGTGTTTTGGAGAATTCCAATGGATGATCTCTACCCACAATTTGGACATCACAAATACCCTTGAAAGCAAAATGCTAAGCTGATAGAGATTTTAAAACGTATGTTGCTTGGAATGAAATACTACTGGTAATTTCAGTTAATACTCTCCTAAAGAATGTGTAAGTTTGTTGAAAATATCAACAGGAACATATTTTTATAAATGAAATTTTGATATCAACATTTATAGCCACTTTGACACCACAAGGTATAAAAGGGCACATTAATAATTAGTTATACCATTTGTCATCTACACTAGCACCTGCTGAAGACAAGCTGCCAGTTCTCTAATCCTAGTGAGTCCTCCAATAGGAAAGTCAAACTTTTAAAGAAAGGTCACAGAGTGATGAGTTTTAATATCACACTTTAAGGGCATTTTGGCTGTATTTCAACTGGTCCTTACAGTCATATATTTTATGACTTAGGTTAAATTAATACATTGTAAATTAATAGTTGGATTACTATTAAGTTATATGAAAACTAAGACCTAGGTTTTTGATATTAGCATTATGACTATATCTACACACCCACATACAAATATACATACTAGTTTTTCTTCTTAAATATAACCATGAAGTAAAAAGAATAGACATATTGGTTTCATTTTGAAGGTAAAGAAACTGAGTCGAACTGAGATTAAGTACCCAAGGATATCCAGCTAATGGTGAGAAAATTCTAAGCCTTTTCAAATCTCAGTTCAGTATTCTATTTACTAAACTATATTAGTCCTAAAATCCTTCTATCTTTTTTCAAATCTAATTGCTAAGTATCTTCCATAACCTTCTTTTCTGAAATGTGTTGAAAGAACATTAGTGATACAATAACTGCATCCAAAAGAATGGAAGGTGGTATGATGAGCACTGCAATTTCACAGTCAGCAAATGTCAAAGTTTAACATTCATGTCTGCTTGGATAAGATTTTCTCAATAATGACTAACATTCTGGAACAAAATTTCACTTTCAAATGTTTTAAAAGTGTTTTATAAAGAAAGATGCTTATACACCAAAGGAAATGCGAATCAAGATACCAAAAACATAAAAATAAAGCAATCTTTATAAGCATCTTTTCCCTGGGGTGATAGGAGGAAGAAAGCCTTGTTGATGTTTTGGGACTCTTTAATATGAAACATAAAGGTAAGAAGATTTCTTTCTTTGCTTTGAAGATAAACAGACTTTGCAATAGGCCAAATAATGGCTTCCCAAAGTTGTCCACATCCTAATCCCCAGAGCCAGTGAATATGTTACCTTACACGGCAAAAGGGATTTTGCAGATGCGATTAAGTTAATGATCTTGAGATAGAGAGATTATCCTGGATTATCCAGTTGGGCCCAATGTAATACAGTGTTCCAACGTGGCCACTGTACTGTGCTTATAAGTGAAAAGCGGACACAGGAGAGTCCGAATCAGAGTAAAGCAGCCTGAGAAAGACTTGACTGGCCATTGCTGGCTCTGAAGACAGAAGGGAGCTATAGTCCAAGAAATGTGGGCAGCCTCTAGAAGATAGAAAAGGGGAGAAAACAGATGATCCCTTAGAGCCTCCTGAAGAACCCAACACGTTGATTTTAGCCTTGTGAGAGCCATTTTGGACTTCTGACCTCCAGAGCTGTAAGATAATAAATGTGTGGTTTTAAGCCACCCGACTTGTGGTAATCTGTTCAGAAGTCATAGGGAATTAATACATACCTCTTAGAATTAAAGTCCATGATTAGGAAAGTGAGAGGTATGACTAGAATTTTTGAAGTACTGTTCTTAAATACTTTTCTCTCATGTTTAAACTTTAAACAGGTGATTTTCCATCAACCCAAACATGCTTCCTTATCTATCACATTCACAATTTAGTTTCAGTAACATGAACTCAGATCTTAAAATATTTTTAGAATATACTATTTCTTCAATAAAATTTAGCATTTTAGAAAAGGTGCCAGAAACAGTGCTAAAGATGTTCACAGATTATCCAGGTTTAAAAGTTATCAGTAGAAAAGTCTGCTTACATGAACTCATGTTTTGTCACTTCACTCTTAGAAATTGAATTGACATTAAGTTGGTCATTCTGATCTCTTGCTTTGGAAAAAAAAGTCAGTAAAATTATGTCTAAATCTAAAGTATTTTCCTTAGAACAGCTTCCAAATGATCATACAACCTATCAAACACTGAACCAGTCTACACCGGTATAATATATGTAACAAATAGATTATATAATCTGTAACAAACAGATTTAATCTCAAATTCTGAACAAGAGGAAATATTTCAGCTATGTAAACAGATGGAGAATTTTTGTTATCTAAACTTCTATTCATAAAATCAGATTTTAAAAAAGTAAACTTTAATTTTTAATTAAAAAATGATTTTGACATGTTTGTCTACACTAGCACTGCAGACAGAAATATAATACAAACCACATATATAATTTAAAATTTTCTAATAACCACATTTAAAAAGTAGAAACAGGTGAGATTAATTTTAACAATGTATTTTATTTAACCCAATATAAACACATATTATTAACATTTCAATATGGTATTAATATTAAAACATTATTAGTGAGATGCTTAACATTCTTTTTTTGTGCTAATTCTGAAATCTGGTGTCCATTTTACCCTTACAGGCACACCTCCGTTTAAACTCTCCAAATTTCAAGTGCTAAATGTGACCACTGTGCTGGGCAATGCAGGTCTCTACACTTTATACTCCTCTAAGTTTGCAGTCCTCAGAGCCCTTCTATATTAAACATTTAAACACACCAGTGTTACATTAGTGATTTACCAGGTATCTTAGCTGACTTCTGGAAATTGAAGAATGGTGTATTTATTAGGTGTATGGTTGTAGTTAAAACTTCTACAAAGTGTGACAGCAATTTCACAGCCTGCCTTTACATCATCGAGGACATATAGGAGCCAAGTAACTGTCACCTTTTTAGTCTGGCCTCAGACTGCAATAAATAACTAGCAATAGAATGAACATTGTAAAAATATTATTAAAATTTGTATAATTTTTGAATTTTTCGATCTCAGAAGAATGAGAAAGAAAATTTACCATGTAACTTTTAAGGGAGAAATCAAAAGCAGACAGATCTCCTGGGTATGGCCAGAACACAGAAATTTAAAAATAAATAAAAAAAATATAAAACTAAAGCCCATAATGGTAACAAAAGAAAAAAAAAAAACAAACTAAGCCCTTCAGAAACACATGCACTGTTAATTCTGTTTTAAATATAATAAAAACCATTTCACTTTGACATTACCTATTAAGTTTTACTGAAAGTCAAAAGGCCTACTTACTGTGACTTCCAAAAAAGTATTTTGATAATATTTTGAAAGAAATAAATAATTTCCCTTTGCATGAAATTAAAAGCCATGATAATAGGGAAAACATTACAGCAAATTACTTGTGTCTAAGGAATGGGAATAGAAGTTTTATCTCCCCTAACTACAGCCTAAACTTAAGCCCAACCTAAACCTAGATCCCCATTATTCCAGAAATCTACCTGAGAGAAGTAATGAGAACACATTAAGTAAACATTTGCTAGAATAATTAGAATGTTCCTAGCATAAAGAAAAGATAAATATTTAAGGTGATGGCTATCCCAATTACTCTGATTTGATTATATGAATGTATCAGATTATCACATATACCCTGAAAATATGTACATCTAATATCTATCAATTTTTAAAAAAGAAAAAAAATTGCTAGAAATCTAAATAATTATTGCTGGGCTGTATAATATTTGTAGTCCTTTAGTAGACTTAATAATGAGCACTATCTGAAGAGCTGAACAACTTCAGCATATTCAATATTTTAATACATATCCATTCAATAGAGGATATACCAAAGTATTTTGGCAAAAACTTATAGAAAATGTAAATGTTACAATCTGTGTATTTCTTTATTTAATAAGCTTGATAATTATCACCAAAAATTGTTATGTGGTTGGATGATGGTGAGTAAGATGGTAGAAAGTCTGACCCACAATGGAATAACTTTTGAATAAAACAAGTTCTTAATCACTAAAAGTTTCTAGCAGAGAATGCAAGGTCAAGAATACAGGGGGCTGAACTAGGTGACCATTTTGGGTTATGTTTTAAGGTTCTATATGAGAAAATAAGACTAGAAGGATACATGAGAATATCACTAGTGCACATTTCTCTTTAATAAACTATGTATTTTTTTCTTTATACTTTTCATTAAGCATCATGTTTTCCTTTTCAAAGACTGCTTTTTTAAGATGTTACCCAAAGCATATATAAGGAGAGTAAATAGTTTATCATTCAAACTGGGACATTCTGAGAGAGAAAGGGGTCATTTATTAATAATTATGCTAAGATAACAGGTGTAAATTGAGGCTAGCCTGGATAAGCCAGGAAATATGGTCACTCTAGGCATTATCTTATTATTTGTGTTAATAATCTGTCATTACTGGTGAAATCTGGAGAATTAACAAAGCTACATAAACTCATATAATAATTTTCTAGGTTCTATATGAATAAATTAGTTAATTTTTTGGCAGGAATACCACTTTCCATCATATATCTTAATAGTACATTTTTAAAAGCCTAGTCTATCTCTGTTTCAGTTAATCAAAGAAACTTAGATACAGGTGATTCTATGTTTTTATAAAGGATTAGGGAGTAAAAAGACTAAAATTCACATGAAATAATTTAAATATATATGTATGCACGTGTGTGCACAAATATGATATATATTCATTCTATAATCTAAGTAAGCCAAATCTAGAATATGAAGGCAAAAGAAGGAAAAAAGGAAAAAACTAGTCAACAACTAAGAAAAAACTACTATAGAGTAATTCTACTTTAAAGGCAAGCTGGAAAAAGAAGAATACTGGCAGACAAGGAGGGCATGAGCATGGCAGTGGAACACCGTTTACTTATGTTTTCAAATGGGTATATCCTAAAACCCTGGGTGATGGTCTTATTATACAAAATAAGATATGGTATGGAGTTGCTTTTTGCTTTGGAACAATTTGATTAAACCCTGTTTTACATTAAGTATTGCTATCTTAGAGTTATTTTGTGACTAGTTTTTCCATTACTGCTCTAAAAAAATTCAATAAAGCTAATTTCTGTACAGAAAAGCACTCTGTTTAAAAGTTAGAGGAACTCTTAGCTAAACAATAGGACTATATAAAGCCTCCTTTTCTCTGGTTATTTTCAAAATACGCTGTAATTTTACAGTCAACCCCAAACATATAAAAGGATTAAGAAACTAAACTTAATTCACAAAACAAAAAGTGCTCATTAATTTCTCTTAGGTGGATCCCAGAGGAGGCATCCATGGGTTTGATTCCAAAATAAATCTCTATTAGGAGCCTCAGAACAGTTCCAAGGGCACCCATTCCAGCAAATAACTTTAGGTAGCAGTTAAGAAAGCTTCAAAGGACAAAAACAAGGTTTTGTATCAGTCCTTGAAGGCAGATTCAGGGCAATTCTGAATTCTATGCTTTGTTTTTAAAACATTTACCAATTAGTACACAGTCTGTGCACCCTTTAGCAGCCCAAAGAAAAATGGGGCAGTGAGGACACAGCATCAAGCTGACAGAAGCAGCCTATGCTTTTAGATTTCTCAAAGAGAAAGCTCATGTCATTACTTTCAAATGAGTTACATGAGAGAAGTAATTGGATCAGGTAAATTTAAAAAAATGTGGGGCCAGGATGCAGTGGCTCACACCTGTAATCCCAGCACTGTGGGAAGCCAAGGCAGGCAGATCACTTGAGACCAGGAGTTTGAGACCAGCCTGGCCAACATGGTGAAACTCTGTCTGTACTAAAAATACCAAAAATTAGCTAGGGGTGGTAGTGTGCGCCTGTTATCCCAGCTACTCGGGAAGCTGAGGCACAAGAATTGCTTGAACCCAGGAGGCGGAGGTTGCAGTGAGTCAAGACTGTGCCAATGCAACTTTAGCCTGGGCAACAGAGCGAGAATCTGCCTCAAAAAAAAAAAAAAAAAAAAGAAAAGAAAAGAAAAGAAAAAGAATTGGTAGCAGGCAAATCCTTAAAGTCAATGAAAGAAGCCTTAAGAAAGATCAATTTCCTTTGCTTCACAATAATTCAAACAAATTATTTTCTTGGTAAGGAGTAAGTCCTCAATGCCTGATGAAACTACATTGGCCTTCTAGTTGTTAGATTCTAGTTAAGAATATTTTAAGTACATACACTTAACAACTAAAAATATTTAAAACTACTTCAGATAGTAGTTTACAGAGTGGCCAAAAATCTCCACATATTTATTTTACATTCATGTGCTTCTTATCTCTAAACCACTGTCATTTTCCCACCTTGTAGCTAAAAAAGATCACATAAAATAAACACAAACAATGCAACAAAGGAACAGAAATCCATCGTGAGAAAAATTATAAGCATAAATAGTTTACTGGTTGCAGTCTGAATAGACTTCACTTTAAAAAATACTTACCAAGTGCTGGAGAAAGTTCTGTATAGGCATATTAATCATTTTTGTTTTAACTGAAAACTGGAAGCTTAGAGTATAATTACCCCTTTAATAGTTAACAAATAATTGTTATAGTCAGGATTAAACACTTTTAGTGTTGATACATTCTACAAAGGAAGGGAATAATAATAAGTAGCATTAGAACAGCACATACATTTTTAAGTGTACAGATGGGGACAGGAGGTATATAAACTCTGTTATCAATTCCCAAAGTATGGTGAATTTGGAGTATGAAATTGGAGAGGTAAATATTAGCTCATTTATTGGCTTTATTTAGCTTTCCCTCAAATTACATGTTTAAGAGATTTAACCATAGCCAAAAGCTATTTTCAAAGTTCAGCAGAGATGACCAAATGAAAATTAACTAAAAAATTGCTCTAACCTAACAAATGAAAGTAGCAACAGCAAGGTAAATATTTATAGGCTTGGCTATGGCTGATGGTTTCAGTAGGATGTATTTCATTTAATAAGCAGTGAGAAAACTCTCAAGTAACATGTGCAAATATTCAGTTCATCAAATACTTTTTTTTTTTTTCACAACACCACTGTAAGTCTTTGCCATTCCCTTGTTCTTAAAAACATTGCTGTTTCTTTTAATGCATGGAAATTCTAAATCATACAGATTGGGAATTTAAAATAGTAAATAGGGGAAATAATTTTTTTTTTTTTTTTGAGACAGTCTTGCTCTGTCACCCAGGCTGGAGTGCAGTGGCGCAATCTCGGCTCACTGTAACCTCTGCCTCCTGGGTTCAAGTGATTCTCCTGCCTCAGCCTCCCGAGTAGCTGGGATTACAGGCGTGTGCCACCAGGCCTGGCTAATTTTTGTATTTTTAGCAGAGACAGAGTTTCACCATGTTGGCCAGGCTGGTCTCGAACTCCTGACCTCAGGTGATCCGCCCGCCTCAGCCTCCCAAAGTGCTGGGATTACAGGCGTGAGCCACTGCGCCCAGCCTAATAGGGGAAATAAATTTTAATTAAAAATTTCAGTTCTTATATAGAACACATTTAGAGGAAAATACACACGTAAAAGTACACACTTACTACTTTCATTCTTATGCAAAAAAAACTAACTCACTGTATTTGTGATTTAGGTGACTCTACATCCTGAGGATTGCCTATGTGGGTAGAACTTAAGGAAATCAGTTCATACTGAATTCCTCAGTTATTGCTCACTCTGTTTAAGTCTTGTCACAATTTTCAAAAGAGACTGCAAGTTAACTGAATAATCAAAACATTAAATTTGTTCTAAGTATGCTGTTTTGAAGTTGGATTTTGGTTGAATTGTTCTGATAGAATTCAGAATAGAATTCTCATAGAATTTCACTTTATTTAGTCTTTGCACTTTTCCTTTAAACGGAGAAAGCTGAGGCCGAATTTAAGGCTCATAAAGCACTGTCATCTCCTACATCCTGTGTTCTTTACGTCCCACTCTTCCCTCAACCTTCTCTGCTTCTTACTTCATCACCCTTCCACCCCCATATAAGTATCAGAATAAAGTTTGGCCATGTGGTAGCTTATTTTTAGAGATAATCTAAACCAAGGTGGATAATTAGGATACTTTTATGCAGGCTTGAAAACAGCTTATGTTTTCTGAATACTTGCTATTTAAAATAACATAAAACTCAAAAAGAAATCAAGCACACTTGACACTGAAATGGAGCTTACCTTAGAGCCACGTTCATTAAAGATTATTTCTACATCTAGGATTTTGCCAAACTGCTGCAGAGATAAAAATAAAAACGTTTACTTATGGTCAGGTTTTTATCCACATATTTTGTTATCTTCTGAAATGGGAATAGTTTATTTTTCTTCTTCAGTAAACTACTTATTTAACTTCTATGTTTGTATTTGTTAGTAAGTTCCAATACCAGTTTCTGATTTTTCCTCGTCACTGAGCTGACAGTTTATCCACCTGTGTGTGTGGAAGCTGTTGTCCAAAGTTATTCACAGTGTTAGCCCATTAGATACTTCATGTGGACAAGAACCTGGAATTTTCCTAACTACATCTCTTAGTTTTTAGAACAGTCTCAGATTTAAAAAGCAAATCCTAGTAAGTAGAATAATATACTATAGAAGGCTGTTACCCTCCTTTTTTTTACACAAGCAAAGTATATTCACTATATAAAAAGCAGAAAATATAAACAAAAGGAAAAGGGAAAACAGAAAATAAAGATAATCTGCAATCCTATCATCGTAATGCTTTAGTACACAGCATTCCAGGCTTTCCCTCAGGCATGTAGAGATAAGTAACTATAGACATCAGATGCATTCTATAATTTGCTTTAAAAAAAAAAAAAGATGGAGTCTTGAACTGTCACCCAGGCTGGAGTCCAGTGGCACGATCTTGGCTCTCTGTAACCTCTGCCTCCTGGATTCAAGCTATTCTCCTGCCTCAGCCTCTTGAGTAGCTGTGATTACAGGTGCCTGCCACCACGTCCAGCTAATTTTTGTATTTTTAGTAGAGAGGGGGTTTCACCGTGTTGGCCAGGCTGGTCTCGAACTCCTGACTTCATGTGATCTGCCTGCCTCAGCCTGCCAAAGCATATATTGCTTTTATTTTTTAACTTAGCAATAGATTGTGAACAACTATCCGAATCAATATATAACTGTGTTACCACTTCTATAGGCTACATGCTATTCACCACTTTAATATTTCTACAATAACATCAAGAATATTTTAAATAACCACTCTCTTTGGTAATTCTTTAAACATTTTAACATTCAGAAAAGCAAACAAAAACTAAAGACACGAAGCCTAAACTCTACTGTTAGGTAGCTAAATAGCTGACTAGAGGGTTACACAAAACACAATGATTATTTAGGGGGAAAGTATATATAAAAAGAGACAAAACTGTTTTAATCAATGCTTGGATGAAATGAATTGAAGGTATATGCAGAAAATTTCCAGATATCTTTTTGGCTTATATTTCCCTCTGAGTATTGGAGTCATACCTGATTATCTACTTCACTTGGGTTTCAAACCAGACTTTGGGAAATGTGAAAAAAAACTGAAAAATGGAAAGAGCAAAACAGAAATCATGCTGTTCCATTGGACTGAATCACCTACTATCTTTATCAAAAAACTTGTATTAATAACCCAAGTTTTCTACAGTAAGACATCTTGGTTTGGTTTAATAGAAGAATCACGGAAAAAGGAAAATGTTTTATTTTAGATGGGAGGGCATTTATGCTTATCCTATAAAACTAAGATTTGTATGGTGCTTTGGAGTTTGTTTTGTTTTATATTTTCTAATGCATTCTTATAATATCCTTCTGGAGTAAGGATCACACTCCTTTTATGGTTAAGACGAATGAGGCTAAAAGAAGCTATTTGTCAAGTTTATGAAGCTAATGAAATGGAGCATGGATGCCTGCTCTTTACCAACGTTACTGTTCTTCTAAGTAACAGAGAGTCACAATGTGGAAGAAAATAAAGCAACTAGGTATCTCTGGTAAGGAAAAAATTATTTCTTTTGCACTTTATGCCTTATGAGAAGGGCATAATACATTTCAAGAAGTCACTAACTGGCCTAGGCAGATCTGCAATGGACACTATTTCTCTGACTCAAGAGAAAACACACTTCTGGCAGATGAGAATGTACTCCATTCTCACAGACCTCCAGAGACTAAGATTTTATATAAGCTCTAATAATTCAGTAGAGAACCTAATAACTCATGCTCCCGAGAAGTTTCTTCTGCGTAACCCAAGTCCTTTATGCTGCCCTTTATTTTCTGTTGCTCTCTTCTCAGAAAAAATGGAAAATATCTGGTTACCATTTTCTGTGTAAAAGCTCTTCAAATACTTCAAGAACATCATTAAATCTCAACTCTGGCCTTCTCTTTAGTGCGGAAAATACATCCAAGTAGTCAGCTATAAATGACAGAATTTTGCCCCAGTGTCTTGTCACCGTGAAGTGGCCACAACCAAGACTTAAAGAAGAGCATCTGCTTTTCTAATAAAGTACCAGGCAGCTATCCTAGTGGAATTTAAAAAAGAAAACAAACAAACAAAAAAAAAAAACAAAAAAACTATTGATTATCTCTGGGTTAAGAGTTTGGTCAAATTCAAAAAGCAATAACAAGCAGGCTCAGAAAAAATTAAGATCCTTAGCAGCCATTCACTAACTTCCCAACAACTCAAATCTTTGCAATTTAACTTTTTTTCATGATGGTGATTCAGGAGGAAATAAACAGTTGAAAGAATACATCAGAGGTAGCAAACCAATCCTCTACAATGATTTTAGATATTGGTCTTGACACTGTGCAGTATGAGCAACAACGTATTATAAAAACAAAACACTGAGGTACTGTTTTCACAAATGTTATTTCATTTAATTTATAACACTCTGAAAGGTAGACATTACTGTCTCTATGTTTATAAATATGATATTTAAATTCAAAAAGGTTACATGAATTCCAAAGTTCACATGCGAATAGAATTTGAACCCAGGCTCTTTGACTCCAAAATCTATACTCTTTCCACTTCAATAAGCCACCTCTAAACCTGTATTCTCTACATTGTGAATCTTTTTAGACATTACAAAGCTAAGTAGAGAGTGGCAATAACGCATCCCTGAACCTAGTTTCTTTGGTCTTGGAGTTGAGGGAGATAAGAGGAGAGGAAGGCAGTATTGAGCTGGACTTATATGGAAGGTAAAGAAAAAACAAAGAAGGCGACAGGATGAATAAGCAATGGTTCCCAAACTTATGTGCACATTAGTATCAGCTGGGGATTTTGTAAACATACCAAAGCCCAAGCCACACTCCAGGCCAATTAAATCACAACCCTAGAATGTCAGGCATAGGCATCAATATTTTTTAAGCTTCCCAGGTAATTTCCAGTGTGCAAACAAGTTTAGGAATCATTGCTCTAAAAGAATGTGCATGTTTGTTCTTGCAGATGAAACTAAGCATATTATTGGTATGTTTACTGAGTTTGGTAGGTGAGTAGGGTGACCATCCTGGTTTCAGCACTGAAAGTCTCACATCACAAGAAACCCCTCAGTCACAGCAAGCTGGGTCATATCGCCACCTTATGTGTGCAGCCACCTGCAAGACTATGTCTAGAGCAGACTGGATGACAGAAAAAGGCTTCTAAAGACTGATGAAAAGACTGATTTACCTCAGGTTCTTTCAATCTATTTGTAGTTTAATCCTAAAGTAATAATGACTAATAACACATCTGGGGGATTAAAATCTACTTTAATTGTAAAATCCATAAAAAGACTTCAGAGACTTACCCCAAACATCTGCCGGAGGTCAGGGTCCCGGAAGCGGAAAGGAATATTAGAGACATGCAGCCGTTTCGGGGTAGATTTACTCTCTGAATTTTCACTACTTTGTGTCTGTGACTGCTGGCCGTCTGTCTGTGCTCCACCTTCTGTCTGCTAAGCAAAGAAATAAAGAATGAAAAATATACACAATTACTTTAAAATAATTAAAGTTATCCCCCCACAGCAATCATCCCCAAACAGGGTATGTTTAAGCAAAAATCACAGTAGTCCCTTCAAAGACAAAAGCAACAACAACAGCAGCAACAACAAAACACAAAGATGCTATTAATGTTCTAAATGCTACCGTCTACAAACAAAATGTTGGTGTTTTGAGTATTTATAGTATGCTAACAAAATGGGAGCTAACGAACACGGAAGTACTAAGTGACTTGCCCAAGATCACATGGAGATACATTAGGATCTGAAGATACAAAAATAGTTCCTTCATTCTTAGACTCTTAGAACTTTCTATTTTTAAGATATTTCTATTTTGAAAATAGAGTCTGTTGTACTTAGTTATGGAGGTCACTTCATTTTTTGGTCTATGATCTCAGGCTCTCTCAAGGAAATGAAATAAGGAAATATTTTTATATTTCATTCCCTCTATTAGCTCTAGAGTTACTACTACTATGTTGCCAAAGTATTATAATGATATTATTTATGAAGAGGAAAGACCTAGCAACAACTGAAGAAGCTTCTTTTTTTTGGAGACAGAGTCTCGCTCTGTCGCCCAGGCTCGAGTGCAGTGGTGCAATCTCGGGTCACTGCAAGCTCCACTTCCCGGGTTCACGCCATTCTCCTGCCTCAGCCTCCCGAGTAGCTGGGACGATAGGTGCCTGCCACCACGCCCGTCTAATTTTTTGTATTTTTGGTAGAGACGGGGTTTCACCCTGTTAGCTAGGATGGTCTTGATCTCCTGACCTTGTGATCCGCCCGCCTTGGCCTTCCAAAGTGTTGGGATTACAGGCGTGAGCCACCGTGCCTGGCCAAGAAGCTTCTTACTCTGAAACAAATCTGTACTCTCCTCCCTAACTTATGCAATTCCAGCTAACTTTAGTACAGGGGAACCCAACCTTCTGCAGCCCAGAGCAAACTGCATTGAGAGAATCTAACTGTTGGAAAAGGCTTTAGAGACCCTGACTCATCTGCTAATTAGCATAAAAATGCAAGATTTGCACATACCCACAGTTAAAGAGTATAAATGAGTGTGGGTATGCATTTATTTATTTATTTATTTTTTAATTTTTTACTTTTTGCACTCATTTTAATGGGTTGTGCATGGTAACCCAATACGCTCACACATGCACACAAGAATCACATGCAGAAATCAAAGTTTCAAGACAGGACAGCTACTGTATGTGCCTGCACTCTGTTATTTTCTAGTTTGTTTTCCTTTTTCTTAACTACCATAACCCGGTAAATTGAATTTACAACCCACTAAGAGGTCACAGCCTGAGGACCGGAAAACAGTGAACTAAACAACCTCTTTGAGCACTCTGGTGCTTCCAGAAAACCACGTTTTTGCTGCAGCATCCTCAGCACCATTCCACAAGGAGGGAGGCAACTCATCCCATGTTCCCATGTTACACAGGAGGAGACAGAACAGGGAGCTCTCCGTGGGCCACCCCATTAAGCCAGTCGGAGCACCTGGACTCAGATCTCCCAAACTTCATCTGATTTCCACTCAATCACGCTGCCTTTCCACGTGGCTTTTAAAATCATTGCTAAGCCTTGTTTCCATGATGCCACACTCAAGTTTTAAGTGAAAATATATTACAAAATAAAAACTTTTTTTTGAAACTATACTGCTGCAGAAAAAGCACACGCCAAGAGTCTGCATTTTGGGTGTGGTGGGTGGGAAAAACCTACAACATGAGGTCTACAGGGTAGCTGCTTTTCAAAAGCGAGTTTGGGGGGGCACAGCGTGGAGGGGGTGACCACTAGAATGGTCATTGAACAGTCATTTGCTGTTCTCCAATCAGGAAACTCCAGCAGCTGCAGAGAACATCCGGAATCAGAAGTGAACACCTGAATAATGACCTTCCGGGCCATAAAGATGGTCTTCTGATGAGAAAGCCAGGGCCCCCAGACACCACGTGTCCTGCATGGAATCACTGATTGGCCAATAGCAGGGCCCACAAGGAAGCCTGGAACTTTCAAGGACGGCCCCACACTACTCTAAAAATGTTTCCACCACCAATACCCGCTTGAATGGGCCCATGCCTGTAAGGAAGGCACTATCAACTCACACCAATTCCAAAGGAAGAAATCCAGGCTCAGGGGCTTCCCAGTGAAGACAGGCACACCCCCCTGAAAACCACACCCTAGACTACAATGCATGGTCCTCTGCTGGACAGACCCCGTGGCCCGTCCTCAGGATGCCAGAACAGGCTGCTCAGTGACATGCGCTGAAGCGGGCAGGGACGGGCACTGGGAGATCCTGCCTGTGCAGAAAAAGTCCTCCCAGGAAGCAAACCACATTTCCAATCTGGTGAATCACGCTCAGTAAAATAAAATCCAGGCCAATCAGCTATGCCTTCAACTCAAAAGAATCTGAAGAGTACATAAGTTAGTTACACATTGTCACCAAAGCAGTTAGGGAGAGCTTCTGATATGCTGAAAACCAAGGGAAAGGGGATGGAGATGAACAAAAATGATCTCATTAGGCCAGAGGCAGGCGAAGTCACACCACTTCTGGAAAAGTGTAACAATAAGGCAAGAACTCAGGTTCCCACGGAGAGGCACATGGGCTGAGGGTGACTGGGTGCCTGCAGGCAAATTCCTTAACCTCCCTGCCCTCCTGGCACCTCATGCCCGACATAGCCTCTGGTATTGGGAGTGGTGCGGTATCAGACAGCTGCTCTCCTTCAGGCCAGCCTTTGCTGTCCACGCAGGGAGGCAGGCAGGCAGTCAGGCAGTCATTCAGGTAGAAGACTTTCTAAGGCTTCCACTGCCCAAGGGCTGCATGGGCATCCTTCAATGAAGACAGATGCTTGGTGGTCACTATCCCCATTCTTCTTCAATCTCATCCTCCTTGTGGTTTTAGAAGCCGCGGACCAAGTCCTGCAGGTTCTTGTCGAACATGCAGTCGATGATGCCCTTCACCATCTTGAGGGCCATGGTGGTGGCCCATGGGCTTTTGCCCCGGGAGGCCCGCAGCTGGTTGCCGTGAGAGGGCCCGGGGGCCGCGACCACCGCCGGCAGATTGCTGCGTTGCCGGCCGCTGCGGTGGGGCAGGCTCCTAGGCCAGGGCGGTGGCAGGGTTTGAGGACCGTGACAGAGGTGGCGACCCACTCCACAGAGGGCGCGATCCCACTCCAGGCCTCTTGCAAAGGGTGGACATGCATTTATTTATTTTTATTTTATTATTATTTTTTTCAATTGAGACAGTGTCTCACTCTGTCCCCCAGGCTGAAGTATAATAGCGAGATCAAAACTCACTGCAGCCTCAACCTCCTGGGTTCAAGTGATCCTCCCACCTCAGCCTCCCGAATGGCTGGCACTACAGGTACGCACCATCACACCCGGCTGAATATGCATTTTTAATCATGAATCTCTTTTGCAACATCCCAGCATGCATTTATCTAATTATTTTTTTCACTAAATCCTCAAAAAAGTTATGTTGAGAAAATTTTTGATAAGTATCTAACAGGTGTGACACATTCTAGGCATGCAATTTTGAAGTATTCATCTGGCAATCGAAGAGCCTTGTGTTTTTACTATTCCCTATGAAGTGCATGCCAAACCCGATGGCTTGCTGAGCTGATTAAACCAACATACTTTTAAAACAGGAGTGGAACTTGCTGTTCTTATTCTCTCAAATGAGATAGAAGTGAGTCCCCAACAGATTCTTCTAGGTGACAGGATGCATCCCCTCCCTTTGACTTTCAGGCTAAAAGAAGCTGTGAATCAGAGATACTTCTGGCTCAGAGATGTTGGCAACCATCTTGAAATGAAGTTTGAAACTTTAAAATATAAAGGATAATCAGGAATAAACTCCAAATGAATAACAGCTTTTCAAGTGTCAATTTAAGTGATGGCAGCTTTTTATCTCATTCCATTCAGGCCTTGCAGATGGCTTAAATGTGCAATGATTCATGTGATATAAAAATAGCAGAAAAGGGAAGAGCTATGAAGCAATGTTCTGTGAAAGTGTACGGTTTTCAATTATCAGTCTTGGCACAATGCAGACTAAGTAACACAAATCCCATTTAAAGATGAAACTCACTAAGTTACTAAAACAGCATCAAGCAAACCAACACGCAGTCAAAGCAACAAGCATCAATTACAACTAATGCTCATTCAAGCACCTTCAAACTTGCCTCTTAACATCTCACAGTTGGATCACATGAAACTTTATCTTCAATCAAACTTTAAAACCACCAGATCTGGTCTGCAAGATGACAATGTATCACTCTGAGGAAAGTTAAAAAGACTGATTCCACAAACTCCAAATTACACTTTTACATATAACTTTATATGTAGCCCATGTAATCTGTCACAGTGTATGTGAAGTGGCAGGATAAATGAAAACTAATGATTACTTCAAAGTATGTTGCCCAAGGTGCTTATCTGTAGCTCTTCATAGTTCTTTGCTTCTCTGAAGACACAATTTAAGATCAGAAGCAAGACTGGTTAATTTTGCAGCTTGTAGTGAACACCCGTCCCCCTTGTTTTTAAGTATGAAATCTTTAATTCTAAGTCGATCTGCCATGTAGAAAAAAGTGACCTATCATTTCCTAAATTCTCAAGACTTCTGATCTAATGCAATTTTTAAATTGAAGTTTAACATACATAGATAAAAATACATAAATTATAAGCATAGAGCTGAATATTCACAATGAAACGTACACCCATGTAACCACCAAATTAGATCAAGAAACAAGATACCAGAAGCACCCTGGGGGGCCCCCACCAGTCACGGTTCCCCTGGCAAAGGGTCACGAGGATCCTGACTTCTAACTCTAGGCCTCCCAAAGTGCTGGGATTACAGGCGTGAGCCACAGCGCCTGGCCTGGAGTGCATGTTCTTAGCCATTATATTGTACTTTACATATATTATTTTCTTTAACCCTCACAATAACTCTGTGAAACAGGTACTACCATTATCTCCAACTGACAGAGGAAGATGCTAAGTGCAGAGATGTTCAGTTAGTTGTCCAAGGTCACACAGTAAGCAGCAGACTAGGAATTCAAAACTAGGCAGCCCAATTTCATATGTGAAATCACTTCCTTTCTAGCACTGTACCCATCCTCTCTTCTTCTCATTAGAAACGAGAACCCATACGAACCCCACCCCTCTCTTACCTTCTTAGGACTCTCATCTCATGCAGCAAGAGTCTCCGGGAGTGGAGACAGGCATGGGTAAGAGACACGGAAGGCTACACTAGAGGTGACATGGGTTCTATACCTTTTTAAATTTTTTTGAGTAAGGGTCTCCCTCTGTCGCCCAGGCTGGAGTGCAGTGTGGCAATCTCAGCTCGCTGCAACCTCCACCTTCTGGGTTCAACTGATCCTCCTGCCTTAGCCTCCCAAATAGCTGGGACTACAGGTGCGAGCCACTACACATGACTAATTTTTATATTTTTTGTAGAAATGGGGTTTTGCCATGTTGCCAGGCTGGTTTGAACTCCTGAGCTCAAGCGATCTGCCTGCCTCAGCCTCCCAAAGTGCTAGAATTATAGGCATGAGCCACTGTGCCTGGCTAGGTTCTATACCTTGAGGAAAGAGAAATAGGTCAGGCTATGCAGAGAAAGGGAAAGGAAAGGGAGAGAAAAGAAAACCAGCAAAGGGATGCTGACATTTAATTAGGAAAAAAGCCAAAGAACTACTAAACTGATACAGGGACTTAAAAGTGGTTTTCTGTACAGAGTAGAAATAGGAATAGAAAATATTGGTCATACTATATTAACGTACTTAAATGAGATCTTATCTCACAACTGGGACATTCTCACTTTAAATTTATCCCAATACAGACTACTAATTGCTGAAATATATAAATCAGAGAGAAAAAGGGAAATAAAAGTTTTTAAGTCTTATCTTTGTGAAAAGTGGACAGTTAAAATTGATCTAAGAAAAATCTCAGTCTACAACAGCACTGGTCTGCATTATTTTCTCTTGCTAGCTGCTGAGCACCTTTACTGACCATATAAACAACTTTCCAAGGTTGTGGTTTTCCCTTTTGTGGTCATTATCCGACCTAACGTATCCACTGGGCAAGGCATAAAACAGAAGAGGCTGGATGGAGTCCGTTCACCGACAGTTTAGAGTGAGGACTAGCGGCAGTGCTGGCCTGATGCAATCATATGGCTAAAACCTATACATCTACCCTTCAAACAACTCATCTTCCCTGGTGCAGCTGAGCTAGCCATCAACACTGCACAGGAGGTCGGCACCAATTACACTTAATAGCAAACTAGAATTTTAAGTCTCAGAATCTCATCCTAGAAATGAGGACTACAAATGTTTTCTTTTTTTGATGACTTCAAATTTTTAAAATACTTCTAACTAGGAAATTGATTGATTTTTCTGACTCTTCTATGATACAATGGAAATATTTTAACTATACATTGTCAACAAATGTTCTGTCATAATCTAAAGGGAATTCTGAGTGACACAAGATTAAGTATAACTTTCCAAGTCTATCAGATTAAGATTAAACACATACGACTCTGATATAGATACTAAGGAATCTCTTAATGAATTCAGAAATATTTTGATTTATGGATTATCCACTTTCTTCAATATTTATTTTTCCTCTTCCCCCCCGTCCCCCAATAGAAGTCTTCATTTCTTATTTTCATCTCTTTGAGGCTAACAGAGAAAAAAAGCAAAATAGGAAATTCAGTTTAGCACAGTAAATTTTTTGAGAATCTGATTCATGGCTGAAAATATCTATTTAACCATCCCAGTTTAATGATAGTTTGGCTGGTCACAGAATTATAGGTTGGAAAAAAAAATCCCTTCAGAATTTTGAAGATAACTCTCAATTGTCTTCTAGCTTTTAGCCTTGCTGCTGAGAAATCTGAAGGCATGATTCCCATCTCCTTGTATGTGACTTTTTTCTTCTCTCTTGCAGCTTGTAGGACTATCCAAATACACCTGATGTTCTAAAACAGTGTCCATAGTTATATGCCTCAGTGTGGACTTGTTTCATTTTCACCTACTTTGTGGAGAATTCTGTGGTCTCTTTCAAGATGAAAATTAATGTCCTCAGTCCTGGAAGTTTTCTTGTGTTATCGGGTGATGATTCTCACGCTACACATTTTCTTTCGGGAAGCTGTATTATTGGATCTTCTGGACCGGTCCTCTAATTTTCACATCTCTTCTCTTGTATTTCCCATCTCTGCCTTTTTGCTCCATTTTTCTGGGATATAGGTCCTTAATCTCTTATCTGAAACCTTTGCGGCCAAATGCTTATCAGAATTTTTAGAATTTTAGAAAGTTAATATAGAATATAACCCATAATGTAATACCCACCCCTCATCCCACCCACATACAATGAGATCTGAGACAGTGATATTTCTTTAGCAAAATCTATAAAGGATAGAAATAGGTTGTGTTGTAAACTTATGAAAAATATAATTTTCAGAACTTTTGGGATTTTGGAATTGTGGATAAGAGACCGTAGGCCAGGTAGAGCGGCTCACACCTGTAATCCCAGCACTTTGGGAGGCTGAGGTGGGTGGATCACCTGAGGTCACGAGTTCAAGACCAGCCTGGCCAGCATGGTGAAACCCTGTTTCTACTAAAAATAGAAAAATTAGTTGGGCGTGGTGGTGCGCGCCTGTAATCCCAGCTACCTGGGAGGCTGAAGCAGGAGAATTGCTTGAACCCAGGAGGCAGAGGTTGCAATGAGCTGAGATCGCACCATTGCACTCTAGCCTAGGCCACAGAGCAAGACTCCATCTCAAAAAAAAAGAAAAAGATGTAGACCTTTATTTTTTCAGTTTCATCTTCAAGTCAGCCAGATAAAGTTTTTCATTTTGTTGCCATGTTTTTAATTTCAAGGACTCATTTTCCTTTTCTGAAACTCAACCCCCATCCCCCAAACTAGCATTTCATTCCTGTTAATACAATTTCTTCTCTCTCTGAGCATATAAATGTAATTGTGGGGGAAAGGTCCTACTCCCTGTAACGTGGTGGTGGTGGTTGTTGTTTTGGTTTCTTTTTGTTATCTATCTTCCAAGTTGTGGGCTTTCCTGGTACCTAGTAATCATTGGTTGTCTATTCAGGACTTAAGAGTTGAGGGGGTAGGTGGCAGGTAGCTAAAAAATTTGGGAAGTCTGAGTGGGTGGAGTGGAGGCTTGGGGGACTTTGTGATTCCTTCATTCTAAGTTGTTAGGTAAGCAATTTGTTCTTTAAGTCTTCTTGAGCAAGTCAGGTTCTTCAAAAAAGTCTTCCAATCTTCTAACTGATGTCACCAGTTTCTGAACTTTTGAAATTTTTGTGGTGTAAGTAAAATTAATCTCATGTATTCAAAACTGGATCTAATAGTAACTATTTAATAAAATCTTATAGTACTGTGTGTACATGTTTTAATCAAGGCAGCAAAATAGGGCAACATAGCCTATGCTTGTTTTGAGCTGACATGTATATTCTAGGAAACATTGCTTGCTTTCAAAATAACTTTTATATTTCAAGTGAAGAAGGGCCTACGTTATAGTCATTCTCCAATGCAAACACAAAAGGTTAAGGGAGAATAAGCAGATGAAGTAGGAAATGAGATGTGGTTATCATCTAATGGCAAGTCCATAAATACAAAATTTTTTCCTTTTTCTGTTCTTTAGAGCCTAGAAGTACCTCAGATATAAGGTGAGGATTATTAAAATATTTGTGATAAGGAGACATGGCAACTAACTACAGTATGGGATTCAGAATAGAGAAAAAGACATTACTGGAAAAAATGAAATTTAAAATAAGGCCTATATTTTACCTAATAGCACTATATCAGTATTCAGTATTTCTTATTGCCTAGTTTCAAACATTCTACTATAGCTATGTAAGATGCTAACATTAGGGGAACTGGGTGAAGGGTATGCAGAAATCTTCTGCATATTTTTGCAAATTTACTGTGAATCTAAAATAATTTCATAATTAAAAGTTTTGGCTGGGTGCAATGGCTCACACCCAGGCTGGCTTTAATTCCAGCACTCTAGGAGGCCCAGGAGTTCGAGACCAGCCTGAACAACCCTGGTGAAACCCTATCTCTACAAAAAATACAAAAATTAGCCAGGAATGATGGCGTAAGCCTGTACTCCCAGCTACTTGGGAGGCTGAGGTGGGAGGATCAATTGAGCATGAGAGGTCAAGGCTGCAGTGAGCTATGATCATATCACTGCACTCCTGCCTGGGCGACAAGGCAAGACCCTGTCTCAAAACAAAAAACAAACACACACACACACAAAAAAAGCAAGCAAGGAAACAAGCAAGCTAGAAAAAAAATTACAAGTTTTAAAAAAGAAAAAAGTAGGCCTGGCGCAGTGGCTCATGCCTGTAATCCTAGCACTTTGGGAGGCCGAGGTGGGTGGATTACCTGAGGTCAAGAGTTCGAGACCAGCCTGGCCAACATGGTGAAACCTCGTCTCCACTAAAAATACAAAAATTAGCCAGGCGTGGTGGCGGGTGCTTGTAATCCCAGCTACTTGGGAGACTGAGGCAGGAGAATCACTTGAACCCAGGAGATGGAGGTTGCAGTGAGCCGAGATCGCACCATTGCACTCCAGCCTGGGCAACAGAGCAAAAACTCTGTCTCAAAAAAAAAAAAAAGAAGAAAATATTTTAGGATGTCAGGTTCTAAACCCTTAAATATTAAAACACTAAAAATGTTTAACTGGTTTAATGATTATATACAGGCACGAGTGTAAACAAATATTTATGTTTTGTATTCAAAATGTGATTGGAACTCTTATGAAACTTAGAAAGAGACTGAAAGTACATTCATTTCAAATTATTGGTTTGATGAAGAAAAAAACCCACATTTAAATCTAACATTACTATTAATCCATTTCACAATTAGAAACAGTTTAACTTGTAACTCTCATTATTTTACATACAAAAAACCAATCATATAAAGCTTCATCTCCTACTGCACTCTCTCTGAAGACATTACAGTTTTAAGAACAAAAATATCAATCACTCCTGGTTGGGCTCCATTTATTTCGAATGGGAGGGGGTGGTGATCTTCAGATAAGGTATGTAAATGAATACTTTCCATAGACTCAAATAGGTAATTTTCACAGTATTATGAAGTCAACATTTAGTGTAAGGGACATAGTTCTGAAAAATGTGTCATTCAAGAATAAGCCTATCAAAGGTCAGTAGATATTTCTATTAACTGCTCAAAGTACATCTGCCATGTGAATTACCATGCAATTCAAATAGCTTTCAAATTAGGCAACTATTGCTGGGTGTGGAGGCTCACACCTGTAATCCCAGCACTTTAGGAGGCTGAGGCAGGTGGATCACTTGAGGTTAGGAGTTTGAGACCAGCCTGGCCAACATGGTGAAACTCTGTCTCTACTAAAAATACAAAAATTAGGTAGGCGTGGCAGTGGGCACCTGTAATCCCAGCTACTTGGGAAGCTTTGGCACGAGAATTGCTTGAACCGGGAGGTGGAGGTTGCAGTGAGCCGAGATTATGCCACTGCAGTCCAGCCTGGGTGACAGAATGAAACTCCGTCTCAAAAAAAAAAAAAAAAAAAGAAAAGAAAAGAAAAGAAAAGAAAAGAAAAGAAAAAGAAAAAGAAATTAGGCAACTATTAACAAAATTTTCATTTGCAGAGATTCACACTGAATCAAAATTTGCACAAAAGTGAAACATTATTAACTTTTTATATCAGATTTCAAATCTAAATGATTTAAATTTGAATAAAATAAGATTATGACATATTTAATATTCAACGAATTGAAATGGAAACATCATAGCCTACTAAGTATTTGATATTCATTTTCTCATCTAATCTTGCAAACAACCGTAGGCGGAAGGAACTATTATCATCATTTTTACAGATAAGGAAAATGAGCATTGGAGTTCTAATTCTCTCATGGTTACACATTCAGTCAACAGAAGGAGCTGAGAGCTGAACCAGCGCAACCTGATTTACAGGCTCACACTCCCTAAACACAATATAGCCTTTTTAAAAAAATAAAAACACTTTAAAATTTTCAGTTTTTCCTTACAATATTTTACAAAGTTGGCCAGGATACTTTTCATTATGCCATTGCATAGTATCTCAAAAAACAAGAACTACAATCCATGTTAGAACATCAACCAGATTTGTTAGCACTTAAAGTACTTTTGTTTTAATTTTCTTGGAGACAGGGTCTCCCAATGTTGCCCAGGCTGGTCTCAAACTCCTGGGCTCAAGAGATTTACAGGCCTAAGCTTCCCAGGTTGCTGGGATTACAGGTGCATGCCACCATGCCTAGCTAAGCATTTTGAAAATGTTTCTAATGGGGCCGGGTGCAATGGCTCACGCCTGTAATCCCAGCACTTTGGGAGGCCAAGGCGGGTGGATCACCTGAGGTCAGGAGTTCGAGACCAGCCTGGCCAACGTGGTGAAACCCCATCTCTACTAAAAATAGAAAGAAATTAGCCAGGTGTGGTGGCAGGCGCCTGTAATTCCAGCTACTTGGAGGCTGAGGCAGGAGAATCGCTTGAACCCGGGGGGCAGAGATTGCAGTGAGCTGAAACCACGCCATCACACTCTAGCATGGGCAACAAGAATGAAACTCTGTCTCAAAAATAAATAAATCAATGAATAAAAATGTTTACGATGGAGTTCCTGATGGGTTAAAACTTGGTGGAATTAGATCATATGCATTCCTTCTCACAGAGTACAAACGCAATAACATGATAAAATATTTTTCAAAAAAGTAAAATCTTAGCCCACATGCTTAGCTACTGAAAAATCAATGTACTTCATGGTGCTAAAATAATATATAAGACAATTATAATCAATTGAATATAAAATTATTTTATCAAATATCACCACCAAAACAATTTTTTAGACACAGAAAAGTGAATTTACATTTACTTAGAGCAACTCCCTATTTAAGAATAATTACTTTTAGATTTATTTTAAAGAGAAATGCTTAAACATTTCTTCTGTGCATTTGAACACTGTTATGACAAGCTGAATTCTGAGAGTCTAATCCTGTTTGGGCATTCAAATGTAAGCTAACTTTTTTTAATAAACGAGTAATTCCATTTCTTCTGAAAATATGTGATTCCATTTTCTCAGAGTGTCAAAGTGCCACAAAAAGGAATTATGAAAGGCATCATTTGTATATGTAACATGATCATGTACTGATTATCAGTGTCACGCTGTGAAACAAAAACCACAGCAAGTCATTTTTTTAAACAGGAGTAAGAATTGTATAAAATTATATGTAACATATAAATAGTGACATGCACACAGAATATCACCTCAATTTTTTAAAACTTTATACCTGAGTGATTATTTTAACGTTCATTTAGAATGAAAGAAATTTGTTAGTATGCTCAAGCTAGAGTCCTAGGTTAAAAGTTGAAGAGTAAGTAGAAGCTAAGATGGTTAAGACTCTCTATGGATGTCTTTTTTTTTTTAAATCACCATTTGCATGGAGAAGCAGGAAAAAAGCACTTGACTGACAGCAGACTTCCTAAGGCCCAGCTCTGTAACCAGCTAGCTGTAACTTGCTCAAATCACTTAACACCACTGACCTCAGCTGTAAAAGAAGATGCTTTTAAAAATGCTTTTTAGGCCGTGCGCGGTGGCTCACACCTGTAATCCCAGCACTTTGGGAGGCTGAGGCAGGTGGATCACAAGGTCAGGAGATCGGGACCATCCTGGCTAACATGGTGAAACCCAGTCTCTACTAAAAATACAAAAAATTAGCCAGGCGTGGTGGTGGGCACCTGTGGTCCCAGCTACTCAGGAGGCTGAGGCAAGAGAATGGCGTGAACCCGGGAGGCGGAACTTACAGTGAGCCGAGATCACGCCACTGCACTCCAGCCTGGGTAACAGAGTAAGACTCTGTCTCAAAAAAAAAAAAAAGTTTTTTAGCTTTAAACTTCATCAGTTCTGATCAGAGTTTACTCATTTTCAAGAGGTAGTATAAAGTATTTATGAAAAATGTAAACAGGTTAAAAAAATTGCCCCTAAATAATCCTTACTACTTCATCATCCTTGCCCTAAGCTGTGAGAGCAGTAAGGGGCAGCGGAGCACAGCATTAACGCGCCTAGCAATTTTTTAGTTTAGTTTCCCTTGGGCATTAGGAGTAAGTAGGTAAGTAAATAAACCAAGGCATGCAAAGAGAAGAAGCAACAGTCATGGAGTTAGCAATATTAACATGTGCTGAAAGGATGTCTTGAGTCTTATATGATCCAAAGGGCAATTTTCTCTATTCAAAAATACCCATGCATAATTCTAAATTTGGTTTTCTGTGGCAACTCTCACATTCTCAAACCAGGTGATAGCTTCCTTATGGATCCAGCTTGGAAACTGCCAAACTACTCATAGACATCAAAATTTTGGAGCTAAAGGACAGATGTAATTATTTTTAAGGGTAAATTGATACAGGATATATATATTTTATGTAGGCTCAATGTACCCTGCCTTTTATTACTTTGAGGGAAAAATAAGAGCCACTCTTGGAAAAGTGGATGGCTGAATGAATAAATTCCTCCGTAGTCCAAGACCTCTACATCTAGCCTGGAAACAGAACATGCTAATGACACCTACACTGTGGGCTGAAGGTAATATAGCCCAACAATACATAGTATGATAGACTGTGGCCCCCCTTCTTCCCATTATGTTCTAGAAATACTCATTTGGGCAAATGATCCCACTGTTAAGGGCTATACCTTCTTGGCTACGTTTTAGTGCATCACTAATCTGCAAGGCACCTTCAACTGTTATCAGATAAAGAAGTCAATGGGCAATACCAATTGATAATAGAGAAGTGAAAGAAAAATTGGCTTAAACTCCAGAGAAGGGGTGTGTAGAAAAGCAAAAAAAAAAAAAAAAAAAAAAAAAATCCTCTGAGCATAATGGTCAACAGGGGCTTTCCAGTGAGGAGGGTTATAAAATCTACAGCTGACTAATATAGTAATAAAGTGGGCCACTCAGCTATTTGCTCAAATCTCTACTTTCAACTCACCAACAAATATTTCAAAGGATGCTTAGCTCTTTAGAGTATAAAATTCCAAATTCTTTGGCCTTGAATTCAAAGTCCTCTATAATTTAGCTTTATCAGCCTCTCTTATTGAGCATTATTGCTTCAGAAGAGAGCCTTCTGTTCCAACTAAAGATACTGTAAGCAAAACATCATGCTGTACAACAGTATAAATACATACAATCTTGTCAACTTAAAAAAACTTCTTAATTTTTATTTTTTAATGTTTAGCAATGGGGTCTTGCCTTGTTACCCAGGCTAGTCTCTAACTCCTGGACTCAAGTGATCCTCCCACCTCAGCCTCCCTAAGTGCTGAGATTACAGGTATGATCCACTGTGCCTGGCCTACAAAGAAAAGAATCTTCTATTTACATCCCCACCTCCATGTGGGAAACCCTTTTAACTCTTAAACATGACTGAGGATTCAGAGAGCTTTTTGTTTCTTTAGGTAATATCCATTGTTATTTATGGCATTAGAAATTGAAGCTGATAAATTTTTAAAGTATTTAAAAATTAATTTTAAATAATAAGCCAATTATGTGTTAATGTAAATAACATATTTTAAAGAAAATTAACTACATTTTCCAAAACGTAATAAATTTACTTAGAAGACTGGCACTCCTTTTAATGTATGGATTTACTATTACAGTATGTTATTTTAACTTAAGTATACAAAGAAAAATCTGGCCTCACAGATAGCTAGAAAAGGGAAAAGTATTTCAATAGCCTTCTCAGAAAACTGTGGAGTCTTCTTTGATAATACATCAAAACTTGACAAGTGGTACTTTCTTAAAAGTTAACTGCAATGTCGAATCTGAAACCTTATCAGTGAACTTTTCATATGTTATTACACTAAAATCCACTGGACAATCATGCACTTTGCATGAATCTTTTACTCATGATTTTGTAACATTAAACCTCAGTCATTATTTGTAAAATATCGGCTTACTGAGTTACGGAGCTCTTTCAAATGTGAGGACATTGCATTATACAAGACCACATTTGTTACTATCATCACGGATCTCATCAGAAAAAATCTTTAAGTACTGAGAAACTGTCGAGCTCATAGTGGAGGACACAAATTTTTCAAAATTCTAATTTCTACCAGGAGAGCTTACATTTTACCAATGGAAAAAAATAGTGTCAGTTTCTTCCCTTGAAGTGGCAGGCCCACTTCATTTTCAAGAAAATGGTGTATAATGTAAATACTTTCTTTCTTTTTCTTAGTTTGATGTAATTAGAATCATTTACTTAGGAGACATAGCATGTTATTGAGTCTTTCACTTAAATATAAGGTTTTCCTAACTGGATAATTAGGAAAATAAAATACATTTATTTCCCCTTATACACTCTTCAAACATAATTTAGAGCTACCTTCTTTTAAATCAAAATATCAGTCCTTAAATAATTTTTTGAAATACATATATAGGGGCAATAACTACTTAATAGTAACAACAAAACTAATATATTTGAGTGCCAGATGCATAAAACTGAATATTATGGTTTGTCCATTAATTGTTCTTACAAGAAAAAAATGGTGCTCCATGAAAAAAGCAGCTAGTTCAGCTTGCAACTCAATCACACAGTACTTTTCCTTGAAACAATGAAAATATTTTGGTATGTAACACAAGTGCTTTATGAATACTTTTCACTTTGCCATGTAGAATATGAAAAATATCATATACTAATGTGGGAAATTAATAAAATTAATACTTTTTACTGCTTCATCAAGGACATTCTTAAGTGAACGTGATTTTTTTGTTTTCCTGTGAGTCTGTGACAGTGAAGAATATGATGGCTGCCAGCAGCACAGTTTGGTGCCACGGCCTTGATTCATGCTAAGGTGCTAGCAGTTTTACCCACCATTGCTTCTGTACTGACCGTCAAAGCAAATATAGTGAAAACAGCAAGAATGTATTGGTATTACTATGAAAATAATACCTTGCATTGACTTCATAGCTCCCTCGACCCAGACTCTGAAAAAATTTAGGGAACTGCCAGTGATCTGTGGACCACACAGGGAAAATTACTGCTGCAAAGGATTGTCCCTGCCTGCAATGTCCTCTACTTCACTGCAGGCTATGGGTTCACTGTTTAGGAGAAGTAGTACCTACCTTCTAAAAGCATCTCTTAATGAACCCGCTTCATTACTCTCTTTCTAGCACTTATCTGTACTTTGTTTTTCTTTTCTTGTTTTTTTGAGACTGAGTTTCCCTCTTGTTGCCCAGGCTGGAGTACAATGGCACGATTTTGACTCACTGCAACCTCTGCCTCCCGAGTTTAAGCGATTCTCCTGCCTCAGCCTCCCAAGTAGCTGGGATTACAGGCATGCACCACCACGCCTGGCTAATTTTGTATTTTTAGTAGAGGCAGGGTTTCACCATGTTGGTTAGGCTGGTCTTGAACTCCCAGCCTCAGGTGATCCACCTGCCTCGGCCTCCCAAAGTGCTGGGATTACAGGCATGAGCCACTGCACCAGGCCTGTACTGTTTTTCTACTGGAACTTCTATAGGTTCATTGAGGGCAGGGGCTTTATTTTACCTTTTTAAGAACACCTAGTGCCTAGCACAGTAATGTGCACATGACAAGTATATATAAAACAGTTGTTCAATATAATTTATGGGAAATAATGCAGGCTCTTGGGGCCAGATAACCTGTATTTAAATCCTCACACTGACATTTATTAGTTGTGTGATCTTGGACAAGTAATCTTGAATCTCTCTAAGCCTCAATTTCTTCATCTGTAAAAGAGGAGTAATAACGATACCTATTTCACATGGCGGCTATGGTAACTCAATGGAGTTAACACATAAAAAGTGCTTCAAACAATATCTGGTACAAAGTAGGCACTCAAATATATTAGTTTTGTTGTTACTATTAAGTAGTTATTGCCCCTATATATGTATTTCAAAAAATTATTTAAGGACTGATATTTTGATTTAAAAGAAGGTAGCTCTAAATTATGTTTGAAGAGTGTATAAGGGGAAATAAATGTATTTTATTTTCCTAATTATCCAGTTAGGAAAACCTTATATTTAAGTGAAAGACTCAATAACATGCTATGTCTCCTAAGTAAATGATTCTAATTACATCAAACTAAGAAAAAGAAAAGTATTTACATTATACGGAAGAATGTTGGAGAAATGAATTCTGTTACCTAAACTGATGTATTAACTCAGTATTTTTAATAGCGTATGTCTAACACCTTAGACCACCTATACGCCTTTAGAACAACTATAAGCCTTCCCCACCACTAGAAAGCACTTGCTAGTAAGTGTTTGTATCCATAATATACCAATAGAGGTGACAGAAACAGAGAGAGAATTATTTCCTACCCTTAAGAATAATACAATCCAACAGGTAGTTAGAATATGTACACAAATATAAACATCATATCTGAAGAGTATTCACTAAAGCTTGTCTACTTCAAATTCTTTGGTTATTTATACCCACTGCCATTTAGAAAAGTATCTAAAGATACAGGAACTGAGGTCCTTTTTTCTCTGCAGGCAGGCCCAGAGATGATCAAGTGTCTGCAGGCCCAGGTGGTAGACCCCTAACTGCTTACCTCTTTTGCTAATGCACAGTATGGGACCAACTGACTATCAAAATAAGCTCTCATCTTAAGAGCAGAAGCTTCTAGCCCAAGGTTAAAATCGATTTCTAAAACACATTTTAAAAATAAAAATTTCAGATTTTAATGCTCAGTTCTCATTTTTGTACAAGTTCTTTTCTTTTTGTTCTCTCCAACAATCTAAGACCATCCAACATAAGCGAAATATACTTAAATGGAGCTGTAGCTCACAGCAACAAACAGTACAAATAGGGACAACTGATCTTAAAAGACTTATGATGGTTAAAAATAATTACTTCGGCTGGATGTGGTGGCTCACTTCTGTAATCCCAGCACTCTGGGATGCTGAGGTGGGAGAATTGCTTGAGCCCAGTAGTTCCAGACCAGCCAGAGCAAGACACAGGGAGACCCTGTCTCTACAAATAATAAAAAAAAAATTAGCCGGGTGTGGGGGTACACGCCTGTAGTCCCAGCTACTCGTGGCGGCTGAGGCAGGAGGACCATCTGAGCCTGGGAGGCAGAGGCTGCAATGAGCTGAGACCATGCCACTGCACTCCAGCCTGGGTGACAGAGTGAGACCCTACCTCAAAGACCCCCTTCCCCCACCCCCCAAAAAAGGTAATTAGGTAACTATTTAAACAAGTAATTTCCAAAGCATTTCTTAATTTATTCTCACTACAACCCTGTACAGTCAGGTCAAGTATAAACTTCATTTGATAGATGAGGAAACTGAAATTGGAGGTAAAATGATTTATTCAAGACAATTATTACAATAAGGATGGCACAATCTTTGTGCTACCTCTTATCTTACTCATCCAACCAGCTGTCAAATCCTCTATATTCTACCTTCATAATGTCTCCTGAATTCATTCCCCCTCTACATAACCACTTAAGACTGTTTCCTAATCGTCTGCCTGCTCCTCTATTCACCCTGCATACGCTGTGACAGATCAATCTTCTCCGAGCACAATTCTGCTCACTTCATTTACTTGCTCAAAATCTTTAATAAAGTCCATATTTCTCAGCCTGGCATTCAAATACTCTTCCCAATTTATACTCAACTGACACTTATTCCACCTTATTTCCCACTAGTCTCTGCCAAACACCTAAAGCTTCAATCAAGTAGAAACCTATGCTTTTATCCCGAGGCATTTTGATCCTTCTCATCACTTCAACTTTGTATTGAGAACTGACGTTCTTAACTCTTCCCACTACCATCTATGCTTACTCGAATTCTAATTACCATTAATACAAGGCCCAGATCAATGCTGTATTCACCAAGACGCCTCAGCTTCTCTCTCCTCAGAACTGCCATAATACAATTGTACCTAGTTTTTTTTTTTTCCCCCAAGAAGCATTTACTGAGTTCTATTAAGTGTCAGGCACTGTGACAAGTCAGGGAATGCAAAGATGAAAAATGACTTTTTCTTTAAAAGTTTAAAACTTAGGAAGACAAAAGTCAATTTAAAAATCACAATTTATATGTTACATAAACAGCAGTCAGCTTACGGTTCTACTTGAGCCTAAATGAAGGACACACGAATTTGGCTTTGCCTAGAAAAGTCCAGGAAGGCTTTTCAGCAGAGATAAGACTTAAACTGAGTGGGAAAAGATACTAAGTGCTTGCTAAGAGGACTAGTGAATATACACAGTACACCATCTTCTTTCACTACGTTGAATATGGGGAGTCGGAGTGGTAGAACGAAGATTACGGACTTAGAATTCCCCATCTGTAAAAACTCTAATATATCCCAAAGGGATATTTTATAAACCATAATAAAATATTGTTTGTGAAAGCAATTTTTAAACTGAAAAGTGAGATACAAATTTGAGGTATCATTAATAAATCTGTAAATAACAACGCTTCCTGTCTAACTTTTAGATTTAATTGGCCACATGAATTACTAGACCATTGTTTTTAATTGATGAGTAATCAAACTGGATAGACCATTTTAAGAGACATATAGGCAGATAGTAAGTTTAATAAAATAACCTAAATATTGTCAAATCTAGGTTTTACAATGTATTGCTCAACTGTTCAAACTCTCTATATACAACACATACACACACACACACACACACTCTCTCTCTCTCTCTCTCTCCCTCCCCCCGCCAAAAGTAAATAAATGGCTTATGAGCAGTGAATTCACCCTCACATTTAAAATGTACACTTTTGGGCCAGGCAGAGTGACTCACACCTGCAATCCCAGCACTTTGGGAGGCTGAGGTGGGTGGATCACTTGAGGTCAGGAGTTCGAGACCAACCTGGCCAACATGGTGAAACCTCGTCTCTACTAAAAATACAGAAATTAGCTGGGCATAGTGGCAGACACCTGTAACCCTAGCTACTCGGGAGGCTAAGGCAGGAGAATCGCTTGAACCTGGGAGGCTGAGGTTGCAGTGAGCTGAGATCACGCCACTGCACTCCAGCCTGGGTGACACAGTGAGACTCGGTCTCAAAAATAAGATCAAATAAAATAAAATGTACACTTAAAAAAAAAGCATCTTTCAACCAGAGCATCCTAAAAATTTCTCATTTTATTGTTAACAGCTTCCTGAAATTATAGAACTTGTGCTATCTCTGTTCACAGGCACAAATCAAAGGATTTTCCATTTTCTCTTCATCTATTTTTGGCAGCGATAAACTTATACTCTATACATATGGGTTATCTCTTTAGGAACTCAAATTGGTTGACATACAAAATTTCATGGTGAACAGTTTCTGGTATAAATGAGGAATGCAAGTCTTAACTATATATATAATGTAAATATATGTATATTTACATTAAGGAACAGAACTTGCCCTTAATCACTGTCATTAGAAATATACAACTGGAGATCTGAAACAACTGAAAATGGTAGCAATAAAGGAAAAAAGAGAAACAGAAATGGGCAATGATGAGGAGATATGTAGTAAGTAATTTAAAAATGCCATGCAATGATTCAGGGAAGAGACTTCTGGCTATGATGGTATGAACAGGTCAGTGAACTGTTTCCTCAAAAGGAAATGACAGTAAGAAAGTTGGACAAAGTTGTCAAAAACAGCCATTTCAGGATTCTAGAAATCAATCAATGGCAGACAGACAATAAATAGATGTCCTGAGAAATTGCTTAAACTTAGGGGCAAGAGCATCCAGACACAAACTTAATGCCTTAAAACTTAGTTTTATCAGGTGAGGGCTGGGACCATAAAAACCAGCAATTTTCACTGCCAGAGAGGGCAGATCTGACTTGGGACAAGGGGGAGATTGAAGGAGTGGTAGAAAATCCATAGCTCTGACAGCTAAAAGGGGCCAACCTGGTGGGAACCTAACAGGGAGAAGACATTCTTCTAGCTTGAGGCTGTGGTCTGAAGAGGGTGCAGTGGAAGACCAGCTAGAAATCTGAAGGGGAGATCCTGGAAAGAAAAGAGTCACAAAAGGGCCAGATATGGTCTCCTCACATCCCTGGGTGGCTGTGAAACTACATGGATGAGGAAGGGAGACATAAGAGGTCTCAACAGAAAGAAAACCCAAGGCAGGCTTAAGAACTGGCTGAACTTTCCATGCACTTCCCAATCAACCTGGATCATCAGAGGGTGAAAGCTCAATAAGCTTCAGGTGTTTGAACACCACCTCTGCACTAGTCACAGGCTAACCATTAAGCTAGGAAGACACGGGTGCCTCCTAGCCAGGCTAAAAACAATAAAACAACAAATGAAAATCAATAAGCAGAAACACTAGTGGCCGTATACTGTGTGGGAGTCACATGTCATAGTTTAAGTATGGGCAAATTACTTAAAACACACACACACACACACACACACACACACACATGCCCATCACAGAAAAATAAATAACACCCCACAGTCACTACAATGCATTACTAAAATGTCCAATTTTCATTAAAAAATTACAAGCATGCAAAGAAACAGAAAAGTGACCCAGATTCAAGAAAATAAGCAGTAACTAGAAACAGACTAAGGCCCAGATGTTGGATTTAGCAGACAACGTTAAAGCAGTAAATACAAATATATTTTTAAAATTAAGGCTGGGCATGGTGTCTCACACCTGTAATCCCAGCATGTTAGGCAGCTGAGGCGAGAGAACTCCTTGAGCCCAGGAGTTCAAGACTAGCCTGGGTAACATAGCGAGACCCTGCCTCTACAAAAAAATACAAAAATTAGCTGGGTTTGGTTGCATGTGCCTGTAGTACCAGCTACTCAGGAGGCTGAGGCAGGAAGATCACTTGCGCCCAGCAGGTCAAGGCTGCAGTGAGCTGTGATTACACCTCTGCACTCCAGCCTGGGTGACAAAGTGAGACCCTATCTCAAAAAATAATAATAAAAATTAAAGAAAAATATGAGAAGAAATCTCAGTAGAAAAATGTAAATGGAAATTCCAGAGTTGAAAAGTATAATAACTGAAAGAAAAAAAATCACTAGATGGGCTCAACAGCAGATTTGGGATGGCAGAACAAAGAAGGAGTGAACTGAAAAAGAGACCACCAGAAATTATCCAATCTAAAGAACAGAAGGAAAAAAGATCCAAGAAAAATGAATAGAACTTCAGATTTTGTTTAGGTTCAGACTGAATTTTTTTAAGAAACAAAAACCCCTATGGGAGAACACCAAGTATTTTAATTTATGTGTTGGCTGGGCGCAGTGGCTCATGCCTGTAATCCCAGCACTTTGGGAGGCCGAGGCAGGCAGATCATGAGGTCAGGTGTTTGAGACCAGCCTGGCCAACATGGTGAAACCCCATCTCTACTAAAAATACAAAAATGAGCTGGGCATGGTGGTGCATGCCCATAATCCCAGCTACTTGGGAGGCTGAGGCAGGAGAATTGGTCGAACCTGGGAGGCAGAGGTTGTACTGAGCCGAGATTGCACCACTGCACTCCAGCCTGGGCAACAGAGCAAGACTTCATCTCGGGGGAAAAGAAAATTATGTGTAATCAGAGGCCCAGGAAGAGAGAAGAAAGGAAAAAAAAATTTGAAGAAATTATGGTGAAAAACATCCCAAATTTGATGAATATATATTTCAAAATCTCAAGAGAACCCAAGTATGATAAAAACAAAGAGATCCACTCCTAGACACATCATAGAGAAACGGCTCAAAGCCAAAGACAAACAGAAAATCTTGAAATCAGCAAGAGAAGAACAACTCATCACCTACAGGGGGACCAACACCAGGGTTAACAGCTGACTTCTCATCACAATCAGCTGACTCCCATGGGAGTGGTCCATGGGATGACATATTTAAAGGGCTGGGGGGTGGAGGAAGAAACTGTCAACCAAGAATCCTATAGCTAACAAAACTATCATTCAAAACTGAACACATAAAAAAACAACATTCCCAGATAAACAAAAACAGTATTTGTTTCCAGCAGGCCTAAAAAAAAATACTAAAAGAAGTCCTTTGGACTGAAAGGAAATGACACTGCATAATAACTTGGACCTATAGGAAGACATGAAGATCACTAAAAATAGTCAAAAAATAAAATAAAATGAATCCTGTCAAGAAACTGAAAAAAGCCACAGACTGGGAGAAAATACTTGGAAAAGACTTATCTGATAACGGACTGTTATCCAAAATATACAAAGAATTCTAAAATCTAATAATAAGAAAACAAACAACCTGATTAAAAAGTAAGACAAAGGCTGGGCGCGGTGGCTCACGCCTGTAATCCCAGCACTTTGGGAGGCCGAGGCGGGCGGATCACGAGGTCAGGAGATCGAGACCATCCTGGCTAACACAGTGAAACCCCGTCTCTACTAAAAAAAACACAAAAAATTAGCCGGGCGTGGTGGCGGGCACCTGTAGTCCCAGCTATGCGGGAGGCTGAGGCAGGAGAATGGCGTGAACCCGGGAGGCGGAGCTTGCAGTGAGCCGAGATCGCGCCACTGCACTCCAGCCTGGGCGACAGAGCGAGACTCCGTCTCAAAAAAAAAAAAAAAAAAAAAAAAGTAAGACAAAGACCTTACCAGATACCTCACCAAATAAGATATAAAGATAGCAAATAACCACATGGAAGGATATTCCATGTCATATGTCATCAGGGAAATGCAAACTAAAACAACAATGAGATACAACTACATATCTATTAGAATGGCCAAAATCCAGACACCAAATGCTGGCGAGGATGTGGAGCAGCAGGAACTCTCATTCATTGCTGGTGGAAATGCAAAACGGTAGAGCCACTCTGGAATGTAGTTTGGTGGTTTCTTATAAAATTAAACATACTCTTATCATATGATCCAGCAATCATGGCCCTTGGTATTTACCCCAAGAAGTTCAAAACTAAGTCCACAAAAAACCCTGCATATGAATGTTTACAGTAGCTTTATTCATAACTGCCAAAATCTGGAAGCAACCAAGATGCCCTTAAATTGGTCAATGGATAAACAAACTGTGGTACATACAGACCAATGGGTTATTATTCAGTGCTGAAAAAGAAATGAACTATTAGGACTTGAAAAGACACAGAGGAAACTTAAATGCATATTACTAAGTGAAAGAAGCCAATCAGAAAAAAGCTACATACTGTGGGATTACAACTACATGAAATCCTGAAAAAGGAAAAACTATGCAGATAGTTAAAAGATCAGTGGTTGCCAGGGGTTGGGTTGTGGGGAGGAGAGAGGGATAAACAAGCAGACCACAGAGGATTTTTAGGACAGTGAAATTACTTTTTGTGATGCTATAATGCTGGCTATATGCTATACATTTATCCAAACCCACAGAACGTACACCAGTAAGAGTAAACTCTAACAGACTTTAGGTGATAAAGATGTATCAATACAGGTTCATCAATGGTAACAGGTGTACCACTCTGGTGTGCAATGTTGTTAGTGGGGGAGGCCATGCATGTGTGGGAACAGAAAGTATATGGGATAAGTCTGTACTATCTTCTCAGTTTACTGTGAACCTAAAACTGCTCTAAAAAAGGAGATCTTAAAAAAAAAAACAACGTAAGATTGTTTAAAGTAATAATTATAATAGTGTATTGTTATATATCTAAAATATACAGGTATAATATGTATGACAATAGCACAAAGGCGCGTGGGGAATGAAGCTATATTAGACCTAAGCTGCTATATTTAACCAGAATAAGACACACATGCATGTGCACACACACAACCATTAGTAATAAGTTGTGATAAGTCAAAGATGTAATTCCTTGAGAAAGCACTAAGAAAATACAAGAAACACCAGCACAAACAAAAAATAACTAAAGAAAAAATATCACAAATGGATGTAAAAGGTACAAAAATTATTTAACAGGAATCAGTAAAGAAGGAACAAAGGAACAATAAAAGGCATGAGACAGTAAAATGACAGACATAAATCTACCTACATTAATAATTACATTAAGATGCAAATTGACCAAATGCTCCAATAAAAAGACAGAAATTTTCAGACTGGATGAAGAAGCAAGAAGCAGGATCTAGCTGTGCACTTTTTTCGGGGAGTGGGGGACGGAGTCTCACTCTGTGGGCCAGGCTGGAGTGCAGTGGCATGATCTCAGTTCACTGCAACCTCCGCCTCCCCAGTTCAAGCGATTCTCCTACCTCAGCCTCTGAGTAGCTGGGATTACAGGCGCACACCACCACGCCCGGCTAATTTTTGTATTTTTAGTAAGGACAGGGTTTCACCATGTTGGTCAGGCTGGTCTGAAACTCCTGACCTCAGATGATCCAGCTGCCTCGGCCTCCCAAAGTGTTGGGATTACAGGCGTGAGCCACCCCACCTGGCCCTTTCTTTTTTAAATTTTGTTAAATAAGAGATATACTTCAGATACAAAGCAGTTGAAACAAAATGACAGAAAAAAATATGTAAACAGTAACTATGAGAAGGCTGAAGTGATTACATTAATATCAGACAAATAGTTTTACTATTTCTTGGTTAACTATAAGCCAAGAAATAGTAAAAGAGACAAAGAGGGACATTTCATATTGATGAAAAAACCAATTGGTTAAGAATATTTTGTTGGAAAGACTGTCTAGTAAACCATAAAACAAGTCTCAATAAATTAAAAAAAATTGAGATCATGTGAAGCGCCAAAGAAATTAAATTATAAATCAATAAAAGAAAGAAATTTGGGGGAAATCCCCAAACATTTGGAAAGGAAACAACATACTCCTATGCAACCCAGGAGCAAAGAAGAAACCACAGGAAAAATTTTTAAAATGTCTCGAACGAAAAAAAAATAAAAACAATATAGATCATATTTTACGGTATGCAGCTAAAGGGAAACTTTCTGTGTTTACAGTTTTAAACACAAAAAGGAAGAAAATCTAAAATCAATCACCTAAGCTTGCAACTCAAGAGGCTGGCAAAATAAAGACCAAATCAAACCCAAAGCAAGTAGAAGAAAGAAATAATAACAGAGTGGAAACTAATGAAAAATAAAATAGAAAAACAACAAAAATCAATGAAAAAAAAAGTTGGTTTCCTGGAAAAATCTGCAAAATTAATAAACCTTAGCTAGACTGACCAATAAAAAAAGAGAGAAGACACAAATTGCCAAATCAAGAATATAAACAGGGATATCACCACAGACCCTACAAAAATTAAAACGATTATATGAAATTATGAATAACTTTATACCAACAAAATTGACAATTTATATGAAGCAAATTGCTAAAAAGACACAAATTACCCAAACTAACAAGAAACAGAGAATAAAAATGAAAAAAAAACCCTGATAATTAGTATAGAAATTTATTAATTAAAACACCTTGGAAAATCCTCACATATATTTTATTTCTTCTTTTTCACTTCTTTAATTGAAACAGTTATTCTGATAGGTCTGTGAGTTCATGATCATTAAAAAGTTATTTGGAAATGCAGTCAATACATCAGCCTGTACGTTTATGATTCTAGAACAAATGCTACTGAAAGTCTCGTTTGTTACCTATCAAGCCTAGACTCTTAAATTATCTATTGTAGCCAATTATTTCTGAAGTATAAAATTATGTGCTTATACATAACTAATAAACATCGAAAGTAGGAATTTCTTGGTGGTTCAATACTTGATGAAAGAAAATTGAAAGCATTTATGGGTTAAATCCATCCTTAGCAAGTGGCTTAAAGGCTGAGTAAAGCTCTCCTTTTCATAACCAGATATAGGAAAGAGAAAAAGAAATCTAACGACAGAGCTAGGTCTTTCTATGCAGACTGTAGAACATTTCTATCTTTAGAAATAGACCACACAAGGCTGGGCATGGTGGCTCATGCCTCTAATCCCAGCACTTTGGGAGACCATGGTAGGAGGATAGAGTGACAGGAGTTCAAAATAAGCTTGGACAACAACAAAAGGAGACCCTGTCTCTACAAAAAAAATTAAAAAATGAGCTGGGCGTGGGGTGTGTGCTTGTAGTCCCAGCTAGATGGGAGGCTGAGGCAGGAGGATCACTTGAGCCCAGGAGACTGAGGTTGCAGTGAGCTAGCTATGTTCATGCCACTGCACTCCAGCCTGGACAACAAAGCAAGAGACAATACAATTTCCCATATGTTGGTATGTATGAGATATATACCTATTATTAATTTATGACATTTCCTTTACTTTAGCAAGTTAGTAGTAAGAGGTGAAGTCAAAGAGGTAAGCTGGGGCTAGAGACTAGTAAACCAAGTACGGAGTTCAGATTATATTCTAATTGCATTAGGGAACTATTAAGAGTTAAGTAGGAAATCGGCATTTGCATTAAAAAAAAAAAAAAACCACCTTAGTCCTATGTGGAGGATAGATAAGTTAGGCAACAGTAATACCGGAAATAAGTGATGAGGTTTGGACTAGAGCAGTGATGATGATAAATTCTTTTAAATTTCCTAACAGCCTCTTCAGGTAGGTACTATTATCTTCATTTTAGAGTGAGCCAAGGGCAGAGAGATTAAATAACTGGTCCAAGGTCACACAGTTTAGTAGGGGCCATATTGAGATTCAAACACAAGCAATTTGGTGGAAGAGTAATAAGATGTAGAGAAGAAGACGAAGTAGTTTTAGAGTTATGGTTGTCAAGACTTGCTAATCAATTAGATGTACAGATGAAAGAAAGAAAGAAAGAATATTCCTAGGTTTTGCTTGAGTTTGGTAGTATAATTATGCAGAGAAAGGATATAAAATAAAAAGAAAAGGGGTTCCAGGACCTACATATGGAGTACTGCACCATTTAAAAGTTGAACAGAGAAGGAGGCAGGAGCAGAACACCCAGTGCTTGGCAGGAAAATTGGGAGAGCTCGAAAAGCCAAGAGACTAAGTATTTCTAGGAGGAGGGAGGACAATGTATACAATGCTGTTGAGAGAAGGTGTAAATGAGAACAGGTGTAAATGCTAAATTAATTCCGAGAGTCTTCTAATTGTATAATTAAGGCGACAATTTCTATATGATTGCCATGCATCCTTCCATTTTTCACCTCATGGTCCACGTACCGTAAGAGATCCATTTTGTGTGCTGGGTGAGTTGCTGCTCTGCTCCCCGTGGGCTTGCGTACTTCCGTAGAGTGTCAGGTTATGCTCACCGGTCTGGCCGGCATAGTCTTGAGTGTGTGGCACCCCATACTCTGTGGGAATTCCATTCTGCGGAGGTGGTGGAAATGGGATGGTAGTAAAAGGCTGAACCATTGCGTCAGGAGTTGTTGTCGGCTCCTGGTTACCCTAAAACAAACAACAAGAGAAAGAAAAAGTGACTTTGAATCCTTGTTACGTAACTATTTTTAAAGTGAGTATATGGAATTCTCTGAATATTCTCTCACTGCATAGGTAAAATGGAATGCTTATTGCTCCAGGATTGGAGAAAATATTATTACACATACACACATAGATATATGTATGTGGACAGACACACACACACACACACACACACACACACACACACTCACTTTTGTTAATGTGTAGTTACTAGACAGGCCCACAACCATATTTAAGTGGACTAGATGCCAAAGGGGCAAAAATCTTTCCTTTAAATTAAAAGTAGGTGGAGAGCCCACTTTGGACCACAAGCCACTACAGCCTATACCACAGAGAGAGACTCTGTCCCTAAAAAATACGAAAAACAAAAAAGAAAAATCAACTAGGAGAAAATATTAGCAAAAGGTAAGAGAGATGCTGGGTTATTATCACTAGTCCCAGAGTGGGTTAACCAAGTTGACAAGACAGACACACATGTACACACAAACACACACACATCCCAAGAGAAAAACAGGCAAACTGTGTATCTGAACAATTCATTGAAAATGAAATACAAACAACTAATAAAAATGCTCAACCTCACTAACTGTCACGAAAATTCACATTAACATCAAAGTAAGTCCAAGTCTTTAGTCATCAAATCAGCAAAAAAATTAAGCAGTTTTATTATGATATAACTGTCATATGATAAACAGCACTTATTTATTTACAGTATACAATTTGGTAAGTTTTGATATATGCACTTATATTCTCATGAAATCATCACCACAATCAAGATAGTCAACACATATATCCAAAACCCCCAAAAGTTTCCTTGTGCCCCAATAATAAACATATATTACTTTTGTAATAAAACCTATACAAATATATTGTTTTTAATACTAAAGAGAATGACAAAAAATATATCATCAATAAGGGGAAGCCAATATTCTGAAACACTGAATTACTGTGTTACTCTTAAGAGAATGGTAGTGACCTACCTTGAAACAAAAATTCATAACTCTCTTCCATTTAAAAGTTAAACAACTTCAAAATTCAGCTGTCTCCAATGTCCAAGAATCATTTCTACTTGGTAATAAAAACTGCTTTACACAATAGTGGTGAAAGAAAAAAGGCAGAGAATTGGGGGTGGGGGGCTGCCACAGTCTAGATAAAAAGTGATGAACTGATTACAGTTATCAGTGGGAAGGGGCAGAGTCATAGACTGAGTTGTGCTCAGTCTCCAACCCGTATGTTGAAGTTCTAACCCTCAGTACCTCAAAATGTCACTGTTTTTAAAGATAAGGTCTTTAAAAAGGTAATTAAAGTGATGTCATGAGGGTGGGCCTTAATCCAATTGGAGTGGTGTCCTTATAAGAAAAGGGAATGTGGATACAGACACATACAGAGGGAGGCCCATGTGAAGACACAGAGCATGACCATCTACAAGCCAACAAAAAAGACATCAGAAGAAACCAACCCTGCTGACACCCTGATCTTGCACTTCTAGCCTCCAGAATGGTAAGAAAATACATTGCTATATTGTTATGTAATACTTTCTTATGGCAGCCCTTGCAAACTGGTAAAGGCAGGAATGAAGATTCTGTAACAGAAATTAATAATAAAAATAAAAATAAATTGCTTTACATAAAAATTTTCCTGCTATTGGACATAATGGTTCATGCCCTTGTAATCCCAGCACTTTGGGAGGCTGAGATGGGAGGACTGCCTGCGGCTAGGAGTTCAAGATCAGCCTGGCCAACACAAAGAGACCCTGTCTCTAGAAAAACTTTAAAAAATTAGCTGGGCATGGTGGTATGTGTAGTCCCAGCTACTTGTGAGGCTGAGAAAGGAGGACTGCTTGAGCCCAGGAGCTGGAGGCTGCAGTGAGCCATGATTGCATCACCCTAGCCTGGGCAACAGAAAGACCACGTCTCTTAAGGGAAAAAAAAAAAAAAAAAAGGCTGGGTGTGGTGGCTCACTTCTGTAATCCCAGCACCTTGTGAGGCTGAGGCGGGCAGATCACTTGAGGTCAGGAGTTCAATACCAGCCTGGCCAACATGGTGAAACTCCATCCCTATTAAAAATACAAAAATTAGCCAAGCATGGTGCCAAATGCCTTTAATCTCAGATATCTTGGAAGCTGAGGCAGGAGAATCGCTTGAACTCAGGAGGAGGACATTGCAGTGAACTGACATCGCTGCCATTAAACTCTAGCCCGGGCAACAGAGTGAGTGAGACTCCATCTCAAAAGATAGAAAAAAAAAAAAACCCCTCTCTTTAGTTCTTAGAAAATATGTTATGAAAACTTTAAATTTTTTTGGAAAAAGTCTATCTTCGTCACCCATCACCATATAACTTCTTTACGTTATTTCTAGGTTAGGATAGTTTTTATGATGTCTTTATAGCTATTCTGGGCATCTGACGAGAGATATAAAATAGTTATCTCCCTTCCCCTTCAAATTATTCAATGCTCTATCTCTCTGTCTCTCTCTAGCCATATGAAACATACTGCTTCAGAAGCCCTCGCTGAATCTACTGGCCTGAAGACAGACATGAAAAAGAATTGAATTGGAATTCAGGTGGACTGGTGAATGAAACACAATAAGAGCACCAAAGGTCTTATGCCCACATCAGGCATAAATATAATCTCACAGGAATCCATAAGAAAGTTCTACTAAATAATTGGTAAAAGCTAAAAGATAGAGTTTTCAAGTTAGGATTAACAAGGCCAAGGCGACTTTCTCCTGCTCTGACACTGCTCCTTTCAGCCTCCTCGTTTTACTCCAGCCTCCATTCTCCACCCCAGCCTGCTGGGAATGAGACTCTGGCACACAAGTACACAGTATGAATTCTCTCACAGCGTTATTCTCAACAGGGCTGACTCAGATAACTGAATAAACACATCAATTAGCAGTGGGAGATGGGGAGAAAGGTAAAAACATTTCCTGCAATCCACTTGTAGCCTAGGCACTAGGCGTTTTACAGAAATGCAAGCCAGGCAGAGGCTCTGTTTTCCTAGAGGGGTTATGTACCTCCCTTAAGAGGTCAAGAAGAAATTCTTAGTGGATTATTTTGTTACTTACAGAAATTTCTTTTAAAATTTTTGTTAAAAATGTAACAACAATTGTTTATATATTAAGGGAATGAAATTGGGATAGGAGTGATTTAACATTTTCTCTCATATAGCATGCAATGTCTGAATATTTCCCCAAGTATACATTATTAAAAATGTCAAATGGTTTCAGATTTGTATTAAATTTCCAGGCCATATTCCAAAGTTCTATGCTCAGAAGAGAAGTACAACAGCCTTCAGCAAACTATGAGATAACAGTTCACATGAGTATTTCTAGGTATGAATTTACCTCTATACTTATATAAAAATGTTTTGTTTCTATTACCAGAGGCTAAGCTGCTTAAGTATATCTCATCTGAGAAAAGAAATTACTAGCTTTCTCTTTAGTCCACAAGGCTAGACAGAATAGCTCTTTTCCCTAACCTAGCAATTTATAAACTTTCTTCTGTTTCCAGTTAAAAGTAATTCCTTCCTTTCCTATATTCTTATAACATTTAGCTTGCATCCCCTATAAGACATTGAAATCTAAAGCCTCATACTTAGCAAACGTAAATATGTATTTTAACTCCCCTATTAGATTAAAAGGCTCATTATGATGGGTGGAGACAGTCCTGTACAATGTAGAATCCCACATCGTACATAATAAATATGAAGTGTTAAACATTTATGAAATAGAGGAAGACTGAGATAGAAAGTCAGGTGTGTGCACATTACAGCAAACTGCTTTGTTGGGCTAGAGAGCATAACAAGGGATAACACAGAGTGAAACAAGTGTTGGTATCTTGGGTTGATATCAAACTGGAGTGCAGGGATGGGAAAGTAGAAGTGGGGAAGCATTAGGAAAGCAAAGAATCAACATTTACATGCTTGTGCTTTATGCACTTAATTTCCTTCTGTCTTACAAACACAGGCTTTAAGAGTTGTTGACCAGCTGTGAGTGAAAATCAAATGTAACTATTAATTTCTGAGTTGAGAATGATGTCTTTCTCTTTTAAACCACAGATAGTAACAGAGGCGATACATATTATATACAGCCTTTTGGTGTACAATGTGAAATATGCTAAATGTTTTCATTCTGAATTCAAACATACAGTTGTCCCTTCATATCTGCAGGTAATTGGTTCCAGGAACCTCCCAGCCCCCGCCCACCACAGATGCCAAAATCCTTGGATACTCAAGCCCTTTATATAAAATGGCATAGTATTTGCATATAACCTACTTACACACATCCTCTTGTGTACTTTAAATCATCTCTATATTACTTATAATACCTAGTACAATGTAAATGTTATGTAAATAGTTGTTATGCTGTAGTGTTTAGAAAATAATGACAAGGCCCTGCATGGTGGCTCATGCCTGTAATTCCAGATCTTTGGGAGGCTGAGGAGGGAGGATCACTTGAGCCCAGGAGTTTGAGACCAACCTAGGCAACATAGTGGGATCCTGTCTCCACAAAAAATTTTTAAAAATTAGCTGGGCATGGTAGCATGTGCCTGTAGTCCCAGTTGCTCAGGAGGCTGAGACAAGAGGATCACTTGAGCTTGGGAGATAGAGGCTGTGGCGAGCTATGATTATGGCACTGCATTCCAGCCTGGGCGACAGAGTGGAACCCTGTCTCAAAAAAAAAAAAAAAAAAAAAAAAAAGAAAAGAAAAGAAAAAAGTGTCAAGAAAAAAGAGTCTGGTCAGGCCAGTGGCTCACAGCTGTAATCCTAATGCTTTGGGAGGCCAAGGAGGGAGGATCTCTTGAGCTCAGGAGTTTGAGACCAACCTGGGCAATGGGAGACCCTGTCTCCTAAAAAGAAACAATGTCTGTACATGTTTAGTACAGACACAGTCATCCAATTTCCCACCCTAATTTTTCAATCCGCAGCTACTTGAATCCACAGATGCAGAACCCGTGGCTATGGACAGACAACTATAGTATTACAGTCGTCAAACAGGAACCCATTCAACAGTCTATTGCCTTACCCACAGCAATCTCAGAGGTTCAATCATCACCTACCGACAGGTGACTTTCAGTGTTTTTTCTAGGTCCAACCATGTGCCTTCTCCCCAGTTTACATGGAATGTAGTAAAACAGAAGAAAGCATGAACCTAAAAGTCAGACTTGAGTTTAAATTCCAATTATACCACTTACCAGATGGGTTGTTTACTTCAGAGGTGGGTGTGAAAATTAATTGAGAGAGCAGGTGAAACTGTTTTGTTACTGATTCTTTAGCATATTTTCTGTTCCTACTGAATTATTCTGAATATTATTTAAAACCTATGCACAGTACTGTAAGAGAACACAGAAATGACCCAAAATATAATTGTCTTCATATTTCTAGGATAACTAAAGTCTATGTAATCTTTGAGAGAGAAGGGTGTATTTTTGTTTATATCTTCTCATTTATTCCTCAACTTCATTCTAATTTTCTCAGTTTGGTCACCTTGAGTCCCACTTATATACATAAACTGCTATTGTATTGCTTCTAATCAACAGGCTGCAAATCCTAAAAGCTTCTCAATTCCCATACCACATATATGGTCAGAATGGATCATGCACACAAACAGATCAATATTAATTTTATTCACACCATCATAAAAGAATCACTTCATTATTTTGGTAGAGCATATTCTCACCAGTTTATTACCACTGACAATGTCACTAATAGTTTTTCTAGTGCTATTTATAAATGGAAATTAATTTTCTAGGATTATAATACAAATAAAATGTTTTTACTTTTAAGTATTTTTACAAATTATATCATTTTGATCCCTTGGGATTTGCTTAGATGGGCTCAGATTTCAAACTCTATTTGCCTTTGTTTAAAAAAAAAGAGTACCTAGGCAAAGGCCTGTCATTCTCAGATCTGGTACTAAAAGCAGTGGCTTCTGCCCAGCTGTCTGTGACAAGAGGAAAATAACAGCTATATAACTGTTCTCTCAGAAAGATAAGAAGACAACACTGGATTTAAAATCATCTAGGATCCGTTTTTTTAAAAAAATTAACTCTGTAGAAGAACAGACCAGGAAAATCCAGATAAATAAATCAGATAAACACATACAAAGACAAAACAATGCTCATTTGCAAGACTTAAAGCAAAATTACTCTAGATTCTTAACTTACACAAATACTTAAATCCCAAATCTCCTTCCTTCAGTATCTAAAATATTCTCGTTTTTTGTTTTGTTTTGTTTTGTTTTTAAGTCTAAAGACAACCAAGCTATTGAACTGTTCTTAACTTTTTTTTTAAACTACCATAACCTAGAGGAGAGCTGTAGGGTAGAATTGTTTTGCTTTTCTCACCTCAAGAAAGTTTCACAATTTTGAGCACCCAGAGCAGACAAAAGTGTTAAGTGTCTAATAATCCTGAATACATTTCTGGTAAGTTAGGTAAAAGTAATACATTTTCTCTTTTACAATACATCTGAACTACACTCAGAGCCATAAGATGTTAGGCAACTTGTAGGTAAATGTGATGTTGAGAGGAAAAATCTATACAATGAAATCTCCATGTAGTCTCCAAATATTTACCTTCAGGTTGAATTCTAAGAGTTCGCTTTTCACTTGGTTGTCTGGAACTTACTGAATGGCCAAGATCCCAAGGAAGCTCATGGAAACAGATTCAATGATTATATAATAAGGATTACTGTAATAAAAACCAATCGCCATTGAAGTATTAGTTTAAGAAAAAAATGTCTAATTTCGGGTAAGGAGTTCAGACACACCCATTCCTGCTTCAGTCTCAACAGTAAGATGCAGTAAGAAACTACTTCCATACAACCCAGCTCCTCACACCTACCAACTCATCTTTTACCTTGTTCTTTGAAAGCAAAGATGACCATATTTTATTGCGTATAACACCCATTCAGGGAACATATTTAAAAATGCACATGTCAAGATCCTTTCCCCATAGATTAGGATTCAGTGGGTTGGAACAGGACCCTGGTACTTACTGGTGTAGATGGTTTGGGTCCCACATTCTGAGAAACACTGACTTAGAGGCTTTGGCTGGCAAAATGGGAGAGAATTATGGTTACAGCATGCCTCCAGGACATGTCCTGAAGCATCTACACCTTTAGAAGAACAGAGTCAGTTAAGAGATTAAAGAGGGCATAGAGGCTAGGCCCCATGGCTCCCAAGGTAATTCCAGCACCTTGGGAGGCTGAGGCATGCAGATCACATGAGGTCAGGAGTTCAAGACCAGCCTGGCCAACGTGGTGAAACTCCATCTCTACTAAAAATACAAAAACAGCCAGGTGTGATGGTGCACGTCTGTAATCCCAGCTACCTGGGAGGCTGAAGCACGAGAATCACTTGAACATCGGAGGCAGAGGTTGCAGTGAGCCAAGATCGCGCCACTGCACTCCAGCCTGGACAACAGAGTAAGACTTTGTCTCAAAATAAATAAATAAATAAATAAATAAATAAATAAAAAGAGAGCATAGATGATGAGAGGAAGGCAACAGTGGCTATAAATGTAAGTTTCCTAAAAGTAGAGGGTTACCTTCTTATATGGAACCTGCAGCTAAGAGAATAAACACTAGTTGTTTTCTAAAGTGCAAATCTACTGAAATGTAGGCCTCACAATGGATCCTTCTTTTAGCGTGGGTATAACTAAAGAATCAGGACCAAAAGATGAGTGTGCTGCAGTCATGTAAGGGGGCGTTGGAATTCAGGAACACGACCAGTACAATCTTGAGCTCTTATAAACAGACAATTAATAAAATAAATTTTTAAAAAACCAGGCAATACAATATAAATCCTTGCTTAGAATACCAATAAATGACACAAGCTGGTATATGTAAATTTAAGGGCAGTTACAGGCTTGGCCAACAAGAATATTGTAAACTTGCCTCCAAATCACTTGTCAACACACACACACACACACACACACACACACACACACCCCTCTTCTGAATTACTCAGAGGGAAAAGCCAGTCCGGTCTTTCCCTTGAGGCTGAGTTTTGAAATCTCACAGCAATGAATATTTAAACAGGAAAATAAATATTTCAGAACAAAGTCATTCAAACCTATAGTCTATTAGGTGAAAAGCAACAAACCCTGTAATAGTCTTAATATTTCCAACCTCTTAAAAGCTCTTTCCTCTATTTCTCCTTAAACAAGTATTTAGAACCTCAAACATTCATGAATCATGTCTTCCACTGGCAACAACAGACAGCAAGAACTACTCTGGTTCAGCTACCTGCTTCTTTGGAAATGGAAGGCCCTTACAATTAATAGTTAACTGTCTGTTCTATTCAATGTAAATATTCTATTCCAATGGATTTACACAATCCATGGAAAATTATTCTTTTTCTCAACCAAACTTTTCACTACAATCTAAATTAATTTATTATTTTGTCATCATGGACAATTAAGTTTGCATCTTCCATATGCTAAACTGGAATAGCCTTAAAAATAGGCCAGGTGGCATTGCTCACACCTGTAATCCCAGCACTTTGGAAGGCCGGGGTGGGAGGACTGCTTGAGGCCAGGAGTTCAAGACCAGCCTGGGCAACATAGCGAGACCCTATCTCTACAAAAAAAATTTTTTTAAATAGCCAGGTGTGGTGGCATGCACCTGTAGTACTACCTACTCAGGGGGCTGAGGTGAGAGGACCACTTGAGCCCAGGAGTTTGAGGATGCAGTGAGCCTAGATCACACCACTGTACTCCATCCTGAGCAACAGAGAGAGACCATGTCTCTAAGGAAAAAACAAAACAAAGAAATAGATGTCACTCAGGTTCCAAATAAAACACTGGCAAAGTAGTAGAGTGTCTTCTGAATTACAAAATATTTAATTATGCTTTATAAATTTTGTTGGGTATTCTGTTGTAGTCTACCTCTTTAAAATAGAAAATTCACATGATATACATATAGTAACAGAGAAAAATTTTCCCTATCCCTTTCCCAGAACAAAACACATTTTGTCTACAACCATGGTTACATGGTGGCTTATATATTCTTTAATCATTTAACAAGTAAAGTCCCTAAGTCAACCAGGGACTGAATCATAAACGTCTTCATCATAGCTTCCTCACCAAATGAAGTGATGATGAGCATATAGGAAGTGCCCTTTAGAAAATGCCTGGTAATTGAATTAACCAGGTAATTGAATACCTGCTTCTGCAGTATAAGTCTATAAAAAAAAGATAGGAACCATTCTCTCAATAGCTTTACCAACTCTGCCAGGGACCTTACCACAATATAAATAATCATTCTATTAAGATACATATAAGGCTATATGTGGGAGTCCACATTATGTACTATGGGAAATTAAAAGAAAAATGAGCCATTGCTCTCACCTAGGCTATCTAAATAACATTTTTTTTGGTTTTTAAAGAGTTCTGCTTTATTTTAACTTAACCTCAACCTAATGAACTCTCCAAGCACCTGCCAGAATGATCTTTCTAAAATAAAACCTAAATCTGATAGTTAATTTATCTTCTTCTTAAAATCCTAGACTGCCAATGTTTACAGTCTCAAGTCCAAATACCTTTGCATGGAAGTCATGCCCCTTGCACACTTCATCTATTCAGCTTCAACTCTTGCCATCAAATATTTATTGAGTATCTATCATTCATCAGATATTCTGTTCTAGCTGCTGATGAAACAACGATGATTAAAAAGACAAAGTCCCTGCCCTTATGGAGTTTACATTCTAGTAGGAAGAGACAAATAATAAATTGGCAAGTAAAACAATAAACAGATGGTATGCTACAGAGAAAAAATAAGAGGAGGGTATCGGGGTATTGGGCTGGAGAGACAGAGAATTTCTATTTTCTAAGGCTGGTCTAGCAAGGTAACACTGATCATAATTTTTTAGAAACTAAGGCAACAAGCTATACGTGTATCTGGATGGAAGAAGACTCCAGACAAAGGGAACACAAATGCAAAGTCCCACAGGCAAAAATACAAGCAGCTCATTCTAAGAACTAGGAACATGGAGGCCTTGGAGACCTATGTGATCAGACTGGAGTAAGCATGGAACAGAGTGGCAGGAGATGAAGCGAGAAAGGTAGCAGTGGGGAAAGAGGGACGTTGATAGAAATCCTGTAAAGCTTACAGCCACTGCAGGGAGGTTAGCTTTTACACTCCACTGAGAGTTCTGAGCAGAGAAGTGATGTGGTCAGAATTAGGTTTTAAATGTACCACTCGGCAAAGGCAAAGGCAGGGAGCCCTGTTGGGAGGCGACCCTGATAATTCAGCTGAGATGAAGAGGGTTTGGTGCAGGTGGTAATCTAATGTGTGTCGAATGCTGAAAACACCACGTACTGTTTCACCTTCCAGTTTCTTTGCACATAGTATTCTTTCTGCTTAGAAAGCTTTTCTCCTTTCTACTCATTGGGCTAATACATACACAATCTTTAATAGGTATTTGGGCATCTACTCCTCTCTAGAGGTTTCTAATTCACTCAAAAAGGGGGAAAATCATTCCTTCCTCCTACCCTCCCCAACCTAATACTTAACTCTATTATGGTACTTATATTCAATTACAATTATTTGCTTACATATGTATTGTCTTTACAGAACATGAACTCTTTGAAGGCAGGTAATTGTCCAGATCTAATTCATCTTTGTATCCCAGTGGCTGCCTTAAAATCTCTCAATAAGTATTTATTAAAGAAATAAAAGATGTTTCAACCCAGTAGAGTATATAAGCAAACACAAAGTTCTGTTATAACAAAAATGATATGGTGGTACAGGAAGTGACCAACACTCAGCATCAGGAAACAAAGGTGATATGAGGTAGGGAAGACAAGGAGATTCATTAGAAGGATACCACAAACTTTGAAGGGACTTACACTAAAGCTATGAACTACATACAATAGCCACAGCGAGATATAGACTGGGGGGCCTGAGCAATGACAATCCAAAGGCAGACTTGGCAGAACCTGGCAACGGGTATGAAGGAGAAGAAGACTACTAGATTTCAACCCCAGGGTACTGTAGGCTAACAAGGAGTGAGCAAGAAAGAGTGGGAAAGGAGAAAGGATCAATTCTAGCAGTCCAAGATGTTCCTGATATAAACTAATTAGATTCTATTTTTTCATATTTGAAGTTCATTCTGTTTTCTAAATGCATTCTAAAATATCTTTGATAGTTATTTCCAGAGTGTTTTTGGTAATTCATTTTTTCTTTTTAAATTTTATTTTTTATCTTTATCAAATTAACACATGCACATGATAGCAAATCAAATAGGTAAGAAGAGCTTATGATTAAAAGCAGCAGTAGCCTGGCCAGGCGTGTTGGCTCACACCTGTAATCCCAGCACTTTGGGAGGCCAAGGTGGGCGGATCACCTGAGGTCAGGAGTTCGAGACCAGCCTGGCCAACATGGCGAAACCCCGTCTCTACTAAAAATATTAGTGGGGTGTAGTGGAGGACACCTGCAATCCCAGCTACTTGGGAGGCTGAGGCAGGAGAACTGCTTGAACCTGGGAGGTGGAGGTGGACGTTGCAGTGAGCCGAGATTGCGCCACTGCACTCCAGCCTGGGGGACAGAGTGAGACTCCGTCTCCAAAAAAAAAAAAAAAAAAAAAAAAAAAAAGCAGTAGTATCCTATCCTTCACTCTGTCAGTCCTTTGAGGACTGACCTTCTTTTAATAGTTCCCTAAAAGGCAGAGGTTCCCAGGCCAGAGGCTGCCATTAGGGATTACTGACTGCTCTGACCACCCCCAAGCTTTGGCAACACATACTCAGTACACACCTGATCTACCCATAGGACTGTAGGACCTGGCCTCCTCTCCTGAGGCCGCTGAAGGAAGGGGTCAAGTGAGTTAACTGTTTGTATGGCAAACTTTGACCAAAAGGGGGAGGAGCAGGAAATGGGAGGAAACCATAAACACCTCTTCACACCTTCTTTGGATGGAAAGGACAGAGAAGCAATAGCTCTACACAACCTTCCTGAAGACTTCCAGTAAAACCAAGCAATCAGCAAGGCCTATTACAAAGAGAGGGCCAGCCTTTCTGCCTTGTCTCACTCTTCTTTCCCTCCTGCTTTCCTGAGATGGTACTCCCCAATAAAGTGTTAGTGGGTAAGGTTTTTGTTTCAGGTTGTTTTCTAGAGAACACTAGCTAAGAACAGAGTCTATGACTTGTGTCTTGTATTTTCCATTTTGGTGAATTAAACCTCTACTTTTTGGGAGCATCTCCAACTCTATTTGGCTATCCTTCTACTGTGTGCTTTCCATTGACAATAATGTTCTAAATCTCCTTTTGCATTCTCTAATTGTTTGCTCTTCATTATACCTAGTATTGGTTTTATAAATGAGTATTTATGAGTATTTTAGTTAGAAGATTCCTTTAAAGTTCTCTTCTGTTTCCTGCATTATCTTTTGCCCCTAGGTTCAGGTTTTCTTTTTGTTTTTTCTGGTCTCTTTCATGCTAAAAGTTCCTCTAAGACTTCTAATGATCCTCACGTACTGGTAACCCAGGTAAAAGGACTTGTTAGCTAGTATGAGTTTCCTCTGTGAATTTGCTTTCTGATTACATCTCTCTTTGGAATTAAAATTCTAATGGGAACTCAGTATAAGACAGAGAAGAGCATGTCACTGGCAGGCTTTGTGTTAGTGTAAGCCACTAGCAAAGTGCAGAATGCCCTCCCTCTCCATCCCCCTAAATATGAGACTAAAGGAAGAGGTGCCAATATCTAACACACACACAAAATTAAATTTCCCCAAACATTCTGATCAACTTCTTTGGAGACAAACACTGTTTTATGTTTTGTTTTTCCTTTGGGTTGTCTTTTTTTTTTTTTTTGAGAGTGAGTCTCACTCTGTCGCCCAGGCTGGAGTGCAGTGGCACAATCCTAGCTCACTGCAACTTCCACCTCCGGGTTCAAGTGATTCTCCTGCCTCAGCCTCCCAAGTAGCTGGGATTATAGGCACCTGCCACCACGCCTGGCTAATTTTTGCATTTTTAGTAGAGACAGGGTTTCACCATGTTGGCCAGGCTGGTCTCCACCTGACCTCAGGTGATCCGCCCGCCTCGGCCTCCCAAAGTGCTGAGATTACAGGCATGAGCCACCGCATCCGGCCTTGTTTTTCCTTTGTTAATGCTAGAGAAAGGGGATGGCATAGTACTTGCTGACTACTGCCACTGGGAAGGGGTTGGAAAGGGTTTGGCAATGCCAGGTAACTGAGTTATCCCCTAAATAAACACTGAATTCCTCTGTTTTCTGTCTCTTTCATTTTTGCTCAGAGAGCTCCCATGGGTTCCCCCTGGACAGACTGGCTTCCATAACACTAGCAAGCAGCCTCCTTGTATTCACCAACAGGCATCTGCTTATTCTTCATTTCATCCAACTATTGGTTCTCATTTGTTTTAGCTTTTCCAGAAATTTAATAACTCTCTTGTATATTAGTGCTACATTTCACCTTTTTCTATTTGCTATTGCTGATTTATTTTTTGTACTTCTATACTGTTATTTCAGGGGAGTCTTGTAAGAGATGTGAGGCAAATGAAAGCATCTATCTACCATCTTGACCCAGAAGTAATGATTTATTTTCTGCAAAACAAGATTTCAACCATAAATGAGTTCTGTTAATTCCAGTTTCCTGTATATATTTGAGAAACGTTAAATAACTATTAAACATTTATGTTTCTTTAAAAAACTTTTAAGAACTCGAAGATTTATTAAAAGAAAATTAGAGAAGATTAAAAGGAAAATAAGAAGTGTTTACTACAATTTTTAAAACTGCCTGTATACTTATGCTTTAATAAATTAGACACATTTAAATTACAGGAAGCAAAGCAACTCAGAGAAGGATCAAAACTAAATATGTGGCCGGATGCAGTGGCTCACGCCTGTAATCCCAGCACTGTGGAAGGCCGAGGCGGGTGGATCATGAGGTCAGGAGATCAAGACCAGCCTGGCCAACATGGTGAAACCCCATCTCTACTAAAGATACAAAAAATTAGCCAGGTGTGGTGGCGCACACCTGTAATCCCAGCTACTCGGGAGGCTGAGGCAGGAGATTCGCTTCAACTCAGGAGACGGAGGTCACAGTGAGCCGAGATCGCGCTATTGCACTCCAGACTGGGAGACAGGATGAGACGGACGAGACTCCATCTCAAAAAAAAAAACCCTAAATATGTGCTGTAAGTCACAGTCCTAATGCCATCTACAAACACACCCAGCACTATATGCTAAACATTATTTTAAATCCTTACAAACAGAAAAGATTTGCAAGGGTCTAACTACTCTCAGAAACAAAAGAAAACATCAAGTATTTACCAGTTAGAATGCCTAATTTTTCATCTCCCTCCTTCTTCATGAATGCAATAGTAGCCAAGATCAGAATGCAGTCTAAAGAGGAAAATAATTCCCGTTACCCCACTGATCTCTAGCAAATGGATCAATAAGGCAGGCCATGGACTCTGATCCTTCAATCAGGAATGGCAATGAAATGTAAACCAGTGATTACAACATTGAATCCTTTATCACAATGAGGCCAGCCTGGAGAAGAAATGGGAGTCCTATGTTAGAAGTAGTCATCAGAAATGCTATTATAAACAGACTGTTATTACTGAACAGGAAAACCTATCTCAACTTAAGAAAGGTGGCCTGCGGAAGACAGAACTAGGGATACCTGAAACCAGCTAACAAAAGAACCAAAAACAAGCCATCCATATTTTAATAGTTGTTTAGTAATGAAAATGTTTGTAGTTTTCACTCCACATTTCCTGTGAAAGTCAAGTCAATGCTAAACCAACAGGGCATACTTTAAAAAAGCATAAAAAGACATATCTATTTCTTCTCTTTACTTATAGTCTTCCTCACTTGAAACTTCATTATTATCATTATCAATTAAATCAACTACACTATCCAGCTTCATTCAAGAATAATTTTCTAGGCCTGGCACGGTGGCTCCCACCTGTAATCCCAGCACTTTGGGAGGCCGAGGCGGGTGGATCACATGAGGTCAGGAGTTCCAGACCAGCCTGGCCAATATGGCAAAACCCCGTCTCTACTAAAAATACAAAAATTAGCTGGGCATGGTGGCATGTGCCTGTAGTCCCACTTACTTGGGAGGCTGAGACAGTAGAATTGCTTGAACCCAGGAGGCGGAGGTTGCAGTGAGCCATGATGGCGCCACTGTACTCCAGCCTGGGAGTGCAGTTAATAAGATAAAATTTTGGGAAGCCAAAATGCATCAGATAGTCAAATTAATCAATTCTGTGCTTACCCCAGAGGAACCAAAGGCTCCAAGACAATTAGTAGACATTTCTCAAGGGTTTGGCCAAAGGTGGGTTACAGAGACTTGGTGGGGGAAGGCAGAGTTTATGTAAAGAAAAAGTTAACTAAATGTCTTCAGGCCTTCAAATAAATTTTGACTAAGTGAAAAAAAAAAAAAAAGAAAAAGTTTAATAGTAAGGTCTGTATTCTTTATATTATACTTAATGTAATACCTGTCATCAAAATGGGGGCAGGGCCAGAAATAGCATAAACTTTAGAAAGATAAACATGGGTTAAAATTTAGGCTCTGCAATGAATGTACTATTTGTGTGACCTTAGATGAGTAACTTAAGCTCTCAAGGCCTTCGGTTTTTCATCTGCAAAATGAAAATAAGGATCATTACCTAAAAGGGTACCTACAAGAATTAACTAAGATAGGCCGGGTGCAGTGGCTCACGCCTGTAATCCCAGCACTCTGGGAGGCCAAGGCGGGTGGATCACCTGAGGTCAGTAGTTCGAGACCAGCCTAACCAACATGGTGAAACCTCGCCTCTACTAATAATACAAAAATTAGCTGAGCGTGGTGGCAGGTGCCCGTAATCCCAGCTACCAAAGGAGGTTGAGGCAGGAGAATCACTTGAACCCGGGAGGTGGAGGTTGCAGTGAGCCACGATCTCACCATTGCACTCCAGCCTGGGCAAGACAGTGAGACTCCGCTTCAAAAAAAAAAAAAAAAAAAAAAGGAATTAACTAAGATCATATATAAAAAATTCTTTGCTTTTGGCAAAAAAAAAAAAAAGCCGGGTGCAGCGGCTCACGCCTATAATCCCAGCACTTTGGGAAGCTGAGGCAGATGGATCACTGAGGTCAGGAGTTCGAGACCAGCCTGACCAACATGGAGAAACCTCATCTCTAGTAAAAATAGAAAAAATTAGCTGGGCTTGGTGGCGCATGTCTGTAATCTCAGCTACTCGGGAGGCTGAAGCAGGAGAACTGCTTGAACCTGGGAGGCGGAGGTTGCAGTGAGCCGAGATCGCGCCATCGCAGTCCAGCCTGGGCAACAAGAGCGAAACTCCATCTCAAAAAAAAAAAAAAAAAAAAATAGAGATAATAATTACCACTATTATTGTGAAAGAATAAGAAAAAATAGAAAGCATACATAGTCCAAAATATAAATGCTAACAGCTGAGTTATAATCTTAAAGTTCTCCATGTTCTTTTTCATATGAACAGTCACATCAATACAAATATGAGGGGAAAAATCACATTCTTCTTCCTAAAGATTGCATATAAGAGATAGGCTAAGTAAAAGTAAACAAACCTCCCCCCCTGCATCTCCTGTTTTTCAAAAATGCCCCCTGGTTCCTCAGGAGGGAAAACTTTAAAGCATATATAGTAGCCTCTTTTATCCACAGGGCATATGCTCCAAGACTCTCAGTAGATTCCTAACACTGCAGATAGCACTGAACCCTCATATACTGTTTTTTTTCCTATACATATATAACTGTGAGAAAGTTTAACTTAACAAATCAGGCACAGTAAGAGATTAACAACAATACTAATAGTAACAGAACAATTATAACAATATAGTGTAATAAAAGTTACGTGAATGTGGCCTCCTTCTCGCTCTCTCTCAAAATACCATACCTTAGTATTTTCAGACTATGGTTGATCATGGGTAATTGAAACCATGAAAAGGGACACTGTGGATGGGGGGATTACTTTACTTAGATAAGCTTTTGGTCACAGTTGCTCTATGTTAGCGAACAACAGTCAGGTGACCATTTTAACTGAAATTAAGAAAGCTATAAACAATGCCATCTACTTATTTAGTTCTACAATGTGTTGCCATTGAAATCTGTAGATAATCTGATTATCATTTAAATAGCAATGACTCAAAGAGTCTAAATATTGCTTATTGAGGTTTTCTAAGGTTCCACCAAGTTTGCAGCAGTGGTCATCATTTTCACAGTCCGGAGTGCCCCTATCTTTTACACTGTTTAACACAGTGAAAAAATAGTACTTTGAATTTTCTCCCTCTTCTGCAAGATTTGCAAGGGCAGGTAATACATAGGAAAAAAGGATGCTTCTCCTTTTCCGCAAGACCACAAATCACACCAAACTATAAAAACATGGAAACTCTGTTTTTCCTGTGTTCTTGCTTAGGTATTTCTGCTAATGACTTTTTTCCCCCCATTAATTTTATCAGTCCTAGACTCTCTGAAACTATCCTACCACTAAACCTCACTCAATACTAAAGAATTTGATTCTAGTTTCAGATAATGTCTTGTATAACGCATATACATACACACACAAAGCAATGCCATAGCCATTCTCCTCACACCTTCCACTTCTGCCAAACTTCTCAAACTCTTTCCTCATATAAGCTTTTAACAACACTTTACTGACATCATTTTCATGTAATTTACTGTATCCCACTTTGTATTATAATTACTTACACATCTTACGCATTCTTCCTTAATACTCCTTGAAATGAACTGTTCAACTGATTTTCACTCATAAATTAAAAATATATTCAATGCAACACTGCTTAATTTTCATTTAAAAGTATGTGTTCACTCTTCTGCTTCCAATAAAGATGGAGTAACAAGAACCAGATTTAAGGCCAGGCGCAGTGGCTCACGCCTGTAATCCCAGCACTTTGGGAGGCCGAGGTGGGCAGATCACCTGAGGTCAGGAGTTCGACCTGGCCAACAAGGTGAAACCCCATCTCTACTAAAAATACAAAAATTAGCAGGGCATAATGGCACATGCCTGTAATCCCAGCTACTTGGGAGGCTGAGGCAGGAGAATTGCTTGAGCCTGGGAAACGGAGGTTGCAGTGAGCCAAGATTCTGCCACTGCACTCCAGCCTGGCCAACAGACTAAGAATCTGTCTCAAAAAAAAAAAAAAAAAAGAAACAGATTTTTCTTTTTACCTGAAACTACTAAAAAAACCACAAAATACATGAAACAACAGCACTCAAGACATTGTCTAGTAGGCAAGGAAGGACAGAGATTCCAGAGTCAGGAAACAAGCAAGTTGAGCTTTACAACTGCCCCAACTTATCACATGGATAAAGTTTCCAGGCTGCAGCAGAGAAGGAAGGACCCAGGCAGAACCTGGTGGGTTCCATGAATTGAGAAGATAGACCTAGAAGTCTGGAGAAGCCAAGACAGCACAGGGGACGGTACTGGAGAAAGTTGCAGAGAGAAAGAGAGCTCTAAAGATCTCAAGTACTCAGTTGAGTGATGACTGCCACATCTATGTGTGAAACTTCCAGAGGCTGGGGAAAGAACCACCTGAAAGAAATACAGGGAACAGTACTAGGAGCTCACACAGTGCCAAGAATAATCCTGTTCTTAACAGCCAGAGTGGAAAACCTAATGATGTAAGGAGCATCCATTAGAGTTTTAAAAAGAGTCTTGCCTCAGTGGCCAGGAAAAATTAACCAGAGACTAAACACAGCTCTAGTCCTGTCTAACAAAGCTTAAAAAACAAGACCTGAGGTCGGGCGTGGTGGCTCATGCCTGTAATCCCAGCACTTTGGGAGGCCGAGGCGGGCGGATCTTGAGGTCAGGAGATAGAGACCATCCTGGCTAACACAGCGAAACCCCATCTCTACTAAAAAGACAAAAAATTAGCCAGGCGTGGTGGTACGCACCTGTAATCCCAGCTACTCGGGAGGCTGAGGCAGGAGAATCGCTTGAACCCGGGAGGCAGAGGTTGCAGTGAGCCGAGATCGCGCCACTGCACTCCAGCCTGGGCGACAGAGCGAGACTCCATCTCAAAAAACAAACAACAAAACAAAACAAACAAACAACCCAAGACCCGAAAGGATCAAACTTTTTCTAAGAAACGCAGTTGTGCTGTAGATAAAGCTCAAGAATATTTATAGACATAAAAAATTATCTAGAACCCAACAAGATAAAATTCACAATGTATGGCATCCAGTCAAAAATTACCAGGCATGCAAAGAAGCAGGAAAACTACAACACATAATGCTGAGAAAAATAAATTAATCACAACTCACCCAGAACTAATACATATGTTAGAATTAGCAGATGAGGACATTAAAACATTTGTGTCTCATATGTTCAAGATAAAAAAGGAAAAAAATGAACATGCTAAGAGACATGAGAGGTGTGAAAAAGACCTACATAAAAATTCTAGAGACGAAAGCTATAATCTGAGATTTAAAAAACACATATACACCCACTGGATTGGATTAATGGCAGACTAGATGTTGCAGGGAAAAAAAGGTAAGTACATTTGATGTTACCATATAGAAAAGATCCAAAAAGAAACAGAGAGAGGGAGGGAAAAAGACCTAAAAGAATAGTGAGCCTTGAAAATGACATAGAATGGCTGGTTAGGATCTGCTATATATCTGCGATGACAAGTTTTCAAAAGTAGTATGTAAAGAATCTAACTCTTGGCCATCTTGAGTGGAAGGCAAAGCAGAGAGGAAGATGACTATGCTCAATATACCACATTTGGTATACTTGCCATGGGTTGCCAATCCCTAAGATTTCATTGTCACCTTCCACTTCTCTTTCTCTGTCGTGCCCTTTCCCCAGTTGCGGGAGTCATGCCCTTCGTCCTTCCTGCCTGACTCCCCAGGAGGCTAGAGCTCCTATGCCATTTACCGTCATACACCCAGGCTTCCACTTTCACTAAAACATCTACAATACAAGAGTTTCCTGTGTCCCTCAAATAGTTGTTTATTCCAAAATCCTCCCAATCTTCTAGCCATGTAAAGCATCTATTTCCCAAACTACATGTGTGCTAAGTATTAACTGATTTAAGTAATAAGCATTAGGTTACAAGTGACTACCCAATTTAACTCTCCCATTCAACATTTCAAAAGAGGACACTATCAATGAATTAGCAAGTTAAAAATCATTAATTAACTCAAAAGAAATATTTGCTGGATGCTGACACTGGTGATATAGTCCCAATCCTGAAAGAAACTATAGTCTGATGGAAAAACACAGAAATATACTCACAATTATAGTACCATATAAGCTAAACGAACAATGCATACAGAATGTTAATGAAGCACAGAGGGACAACTGTGTGAGACAGGAAGATTTCTGAAGTAGGTGAAGTCTAAGCTGAACCTTTAAAGACAAATTAATCATGTGGGAGAAAAATGCATCTGGCCCAAAGTAATAAATAATAGTCATGTATCACTTGATGACAGGGATATGTTCTGAGAAACGTGTCCTTAAGCAAGTGTCTTTGTGTGAACATCACACAGTGTACTTACACAAATTTAGATGGTATTGCCTACTACACACCTAGACTATATGGCATCGCCTATTGCTCCTAGGCTACAAACTTGTACAGCATGTGACTATACTGAATACTGTAGGCAAGCATAACACAAACCTAAGTATTTGTGTGTCTAAATATAGAAAAGGGACAGTAAAAATACAGTATTATAATCTTATGGAACCACTATTGTGTATGCAGTCTGTCGTTGACCCAAATGTTGTTATACAGTATATAA